>NC_000012.12:30596638-30749333 GCF_000001405.40 Homo sapiens
TACTCCTTTCAGCTCATTCCTAGAACCAGCTTCCCAATAGGAACATAATACATACTTGCTGGCTTTATTATTCTGCATCCAATCATTCTATGGGATAAGATAAAAATGACAAACATACAGGTAAGTTTTCCCAACCCTTTTCCCTGTCTTTGTGGGGTATTGGGCAGAACTGCCCTGCATAGGAACTCCACATGGGATGGTGACAAATTGGTCAATTTGATCCTCTTTCTTAATAATAAATATGGATTTATTATTATAAGTTTTCCCAACCCTTAACCCTGATAAATCAGGTTCTGATTCTGAAAACTGTTTAGTTCCTTCCCCTCTTCTCCTTCTGAACAAGATTAAGGTTCTTGGGAGGCAGAATGAGGAAAAGGCACTGAGGAATGAATGACCTATTCTTGTGAAACTGGCAGTGAGGGTAAAGAGGGGCTTCTCTTCCCAGCAGGCATTGAGTGAAGAAGGATCCTACACCTGCAGACTATGGAGAGCCCAGGGCAGAGCTGGGAGAAGTCGGTTAGAGCTGGATGAGGAGTGGGCTGGAGAGAGACCGGGTGTGGGCCAAGGAGAGTGAGAGAGGGTCCTTCTGTGGAAGGAGAGTGACAGGCCTCAGGGTTGCCAGATGCTACAGAATATGAGAAAAAGGAGATCTTAGTAAAACTTGTCTTCAAGTTCTACATTTGATTTGTATATGATCTGAATTCCTGTTTGTACTATTCTTTGAATATGGCCCCACTGCTGAATGAACCATAAAAGTCTTGACTTCAAGATGATCATAAGTGCAACAAACACATATTAAACACTTTCTTGGGCTCCTACATTTTACTGGCCACACAGGGGAGACAAAAATATATAAAAGACAATACTAGAGACACTTGATTAGGTAAGAGATGAAACATAATCAATAACATTTGTAAAGTCATTAACTACTTTCAAAATCTTAGTATGTGTATTAGTCCATTCTTGCTTTGCTATAAAGAAATACCTGAGACTGGGTAATTTACAAAGAAAAGAGATTTAATTGGCTCACAGTTCTGCAGGCTGCATAGGAAGCAAGGTGCCAGCATCTGCTCAGTTTCTGGGAGGCCTCAGGGAGCTTTTACCTGTGGCAGAAGACAATGCAGGAGCAGACACATCACATAGCAAGAGGGGGAGCAAGGGAGAGAGAGGGGGGGTGAGGGGTGCCATACACTTTTACATGACCAGATCTCACAAAAACTCACTCACTATCACAAGGATAGCACCAAGCCATGAGGCATCTGCCCCCATGACCCAAACACCTCCCACCAGGCCCTGGCTCCAGCATTGGGGATTACATTTCAACATGAGATTTGGGTGGGGACAAATATCCAGATTATATTGGTGTACTTGATACATTATGATTTTATTGAACCCTCTTAGGAACTCTAAAGTAGACAGGACAGGCCAATTCATTTTTATCTAAACTAAATGATCTGACAGTGGCTGACATTCAGCTCAGCAGCAAGAGTCAATCTGAATCTAAGTCTTGAGAACTCCAAAGTCTGTTTTCTTTGTTCGTTCTGCAATTTCTTCTCTCTGGCATGAAAAGAAACATATAACACAAGACAGAGACCCAGAAGTCGAGGCCCAGTGTCTGATGTATAAAATGGCTTTTCAGGATTACAAGAGACATGCCCAGTTACTTTCAGTGCAAGGATATCTCACAAAAATTCAAGAGCATATTAAGTCTCAAGTCATCCATCTCCCTTCTGGCTAGACAGTCACTGATATGGTCTGACTGTGTCCCCACCAATATAAATTTGAATTGTACCGCCCAGAACTCCCACATGTTGTGGGAGGGACCCAGGGGGAGGTAATTAAATCATGGGGGCTGGCCTTTCTCGTGCTATTCTCATGATAGTGAATAAGTCTGACGAGATCTGATGGGTTTATCAGGGGTTTCCGCTTTTGCTTCTCTCTCATTTTCTCTTGCAGTCACCAGGTAGGAATGGCCTTTCGCCTCCCACCATGATTCTAAGGCCTCCCCAGCCAGGTGGAACTGTAAGTCCAATTAAACCTCTTTTCTTCCCAGTCTTGGGTATATCTTTATCAGCAGCATGAAAATGGACTAATACAGTCACTCTTGGTCTCAAAGATTTGGCTACACCTCAGAGCTCATGGAACACTGCACATATCTCAGAAAATATTGGAGTGTAACTTCCATTTATGTGTATATCTCAAAATCCATATTTATTATTAAGAAAGAGGATCAAATTGACAAATTTGTCACCATCCCATGTGGTGTTCCTATGCAGGGCAGTTCTGCCCAATACCCGAAAAAGACATCCGGCTTCCGTGGCTTTTTTAGAAGAGGGTTGTAGGTGTGGTAAGCAGTGGTGAGTGGGGAAGGCCTGTGACTTCAACGTGGATGATAAAAGTAATCCTGCTATTGTGCTATCTTTCCTGAAATAACAAATATGCAGTCTTGTTATTTCCTTTGGCACAACGTAATCCTACTACCTCATGCGCTCTCACATTTTTGTCTTAAATCCTTTCAGGCACCATTGGATTTTTACAGTACTTATTTTTAATTCTCCTCACCCACCCACTATTCTTCACTTCATCCTCTCAGCTTTGAGAGTACGTTGATTTAAATTTAGTAGGGGAAGAAAAACATGCATGCTGTTATTTTTTAAATAACACTGAACCCCTTTCAAAGGCAGCATTCATGTGCAGGTATCACTTATCATTAAGGGATTATAAAGGTTCTGAAAGAAATATTTTAAAAACTGACAAAAATTACTTGTGGGTTATATTATTTACTATATTTTAAAGTTTCATGATTTTTCATGAAACTATCTGGTTTGTAACTCAAAGGTTGAGTGTTATCAAGATTTAAAAATACATAATCTTTAATATAGTACAGACAAATGAAAAGTCATGCCTGCTGTATTCAGAGTAATTTAATATAATTCAATTCTGTAACACCATCATAAAGAAGGATTAACAGTTCAACAGCTGCACCGTAAATATAGCAATTATTGTTGTTGAAATTCAGGATTCTATAAACTACCCCCTCACACTGAACTGTATCAAAGCAAATAGAGAACAGTTGTTGACTCAATACAGGATTAGGAAAGGATTTTTGCCATTACATCACTTAGATCATAATCCTTATAATAAAGTCAACCATTGCAGTGTTTGCAAACGATCATAGGACTGACCTTTTTACCTAAGATGAAAGAACCCATCTGGAGAGATCACATTACAGCAGCAGCCTTTGTTGTCACTGTCATATCCCATCTCAGCATTTCATGGTAGGCATTCCCATCTTGTATGAGTCAGTTTATCAGGGCTTACTAGGACTAGATTTAAGGGCTGAGAATTAGTAGGCAACCATTTACATTATGACTTGGAGGATTCCGGAAAGGATTTCCTTCACCAAACATATCTCCTCTATAGTCTATTAGGATATTTGAAATCCAGGCATTCTCAACTTTCTGACATTTGTATCGCTGAACAGGCTAGTTGGTTCTTTTTCCAAAGTACAAGACTTGCAGAGCTGGCCCCTGACATGTGATGAGGCCCCTAATCCAGTCATGTATGCCTTTTCTTTTTCTGCTACACAAAGGTGACATACTTAGAGAAAAAAGGCAAAGGAGCAGAAAAAAATGTGAATAATGACTGAAAACTTACATTTGATGAAAAACATTAATCTTCATGTCCAAGAAGCTCAACATCCAAGAAGCTCAACAATCTCTAAGTAGGATAAACTGAAACAGATCCACACCTAGGCACATCAAAATCAAACAAAGGATAAAGAGAAAACTCTAAATGTAGCAAGAAAAAAACAATTCTTCACCCAAGACCCACAATAAGATTACCACGCTTTTTTTCACAAGATGGTGGATTACACCCTTTTAGCATGCCTCAGTCACTTGGAAATAGCAAGATAGTGCATAAAGATCAACTCTGTGGCATTAATTCAAGAAGGAAAATGGGGATTCACCAGAATCATGAAGGACACCTCAGATCCCAGAGAGGAAAATGTGGGCAAACGGACCCCATGAAAGCATCTGGCTGAGAAAAGTGAGTGAAACCCCAGTATGTGAGACAGGCAGACAGCCTCCCTCTGTTACTTACCTTTCCACTGGGGATCCGAGCAACCCAGGCCAAGGGAGGACACCTTGTTTATCCTAAGCCTTGCAGCCAACCTGGGGAGGAGCTTGGAGATGCTATGAGAAAAAAGACACTGGGGAACACTACAGGCATTTTCCCAGACCTGGGACCAAAAGCAGGATGTGTTTTAACCCAGGGACATAAAGTCAGCCATTCTTTAGCAACCTGGCAGTGTAGCCATGCAGGCATTTTAGTCTCAGGTCAGAGACTGGAGTGCCTGCTCTAGAGTGGCATAGGGGTCTCCAGAGCTAGAACTATGAAAAGTACCTCAGCAGTAGGCACTGGAATTTTGTTATTCCCCATTGCAAGACTAGGATGGGATGGGAGCTGCTACCACTGCAGTTTCTCCTGAGCAGCAAGACTTGCAGCCAGGGTCAGCTTAGTGACTTGGAACCAGTCTGTGCACGCCATTTCTGGGTGCTCCATCCTGTTCCCCTGAGATCATGGTGCAGTGGGGCCCTATCCACTCTAGCCACAGGCAGAAATCCAGGCATTTGGAGTACCTGTTTGCCTGGACCAGCAGCCTGAGCTGCCCCACCCTTCATAGACATAGATCAAGATATAGTGGGGCCTTTTCTGCTCCATGCCCAGGCAGATCTCCAGGCATTTGGAGGACCCATTTGCTTAGTTCAGCAGCTTGAGCCACCTCAACCTTCCTGAGTATAGATTGTGGTGAAACGGGGCTTTCTCTGCTCCACAATAGGCAGATCTCCAGGTATTCAAAGTACCCACTCACCTGGATTGGCATTCTGACCTATGCCATTCTTCCTATATAGAGATCCTGGTGAAGCAGGGACCTCTTCACTCCACACCCAGGCAGATCTCCAGGCACCTGGAGTGCCCCCTCTCCTGGATAAGGAGTTTAGGCCATCCCCCATCCCTGTGCAGTGAACTTGGGGCTAAAGAGGTTTCCCAGCTCCATGCCTAGGTGCACCTCTAGGTACTTGATGGCTGCTCACTGGATTCTCCCTCAGCACTTGTGCTTGTCCCTGGAGCCTGTAGGCAGACTCGCCTGGTCCAGCTCCATCCATCATGTCCCCCACTCACCAGGGGCTAAACAGGAAGCTCAGACCACTGTGCACTCCATGGATCAGCCCATTTACCTGAAGCAACAGGGAGCTTCTCCCAGTAAACAAAGGTCAAGTATATCCCCAAATTGGCTGCAACCAGCTCATACCTATAAGTGCCATCTACAGGCTTAGAGTTTGAAGCGCACAGCCCAGTATAAAAGTTGCCATCAGAAGTGCATACAGCTATAGAAGCAAAGCCAAACAACTCTACTCAACATTCTCTATAGTTATACCTGCTGGGGAGATGGAAAAAAGGAAAGAGAAAGAAAAAATAATAATAATATAGAGAAAGAAATAAAAAGAAAATTTCTACCTGCTAGAAAATAAATACAAAATTATAAGTGTCAGCATCTCAGATGAGAAGGAACCAGGGCAAGAATTCTGGTACCATGAAAAATATGAATGTAGTGATACCATCAAAGGATTGCACTAGCTCTCCAGCAATTGTTGCTAACCAAAATTGAAACTAAGAAATGACAGATAAAGTATTCAAAGCATGGACTAGGAAAAAAAAAAAACGCAATGATATCCAAGACAAGGTTAAAAATCAACACAAAGAAACTTCTAAAGCAATCTCTGGGAAATGAAGGAAGAGATAAACATCCTAAAAAGAAATTAATCAGGGCTAGGTGCGGTGGCTCACGCCTGTAATCCCGGCACTTTGGGAGGCTGAGGTGGGCAGATCAGTTGAGGTTGGGAGTTCGAGGCCAACCTGGCCAACATGGTGAAACCCCATCTCTACTAAAAACACAAAAATTAGCTGGGCGTGGTGGCACACATTTGTAATCCCAGCTACTCAGAAGGCTGAGGCAGGAGAATTGCTTGAACCCAGGAGGCAGAGGTTGCAGTGAGTCGAGATCATGCCACTGTACTCCAGCCTGGGTGACAGAGTGAGTCTCTGTCTCAAAAAAAAAAAAAAACAGAAAGAAAAAGAAAAAGAAAAAAAAAAGAAATCAATCAGACCTTCTAGAATTGAAAAACTCACCTAAGGAGTTTCAAAGTACAATTAAAAGTTTTATCAATAGATTGGGCCAAGCAGAAGAAATTACAGAGCTTGAAGACCAGTCTTTCAAGCTAACCCAGCCAAACAAAAATAAAGGAAAGTGAATGTAAAAAAACGAACAGTCTTCAAGAAATTGTAATTACGTGAAGTGAAAAAACCTACAAATTATTAACATTCTTGAGAGGAAGAAAAAGTAAACAATCTGGTAAATATATTTTTGAGGGAATAACTCAAGAAAAGTTTCCTAATCTTGCTAGAGAGACAGACATCGAGATACAAGAAATCCAGAGAACATCTGCAAGATACTATATAAAACAACATCACCAAGGCATATAGTCACCAGACTGTCCAAAGTGAACACTAAAGAAAAAATCTTAAAGGCAGCTAGCAAAAAAAAAGGTCAGATCACATACAAAGGGAACTCCATTAGGCTAACAGCAGACATCTTAGCAGAAACCTTATAAGTCAGGAGAGATTGGGGGCCTATTTTTAGCATTCTTTAAATTGCCAAAGCAATCCTAAGCAGAAGGAACAAAGCCAGAGGTATCACATTACCTGATTTCAAACTATACTATAAGGCTACAGTAACCAAAACAGCATGGTATTGGTACAAAAACAGACACCTTAGACCAATGGAACAGAATAAAGAATGCAGAAATAAAGCCACACACCTACAGCCATCTGCTCTTCAACAAAGTTGACAAAAACAAGCAAAAGAGAAAAGACTCCCTATTCAATAAATTGTGCAGGATAGTTGGCTGGCCACATGCAGGAGAATAAAACATGATCCCTACCCGTCACCATATACAAAAGTTAACTCAAGATTAATTAGAGATTTAAATGTAAGACCTCAAACTATAAAAATCCTAGAAGAAAACCTAGGAAACATCAGGCTTGGGAAATAAATTACAACTAAGACCACAAAAGCAACTGCAACCAAAAAATTAAAAAGCAGGAACTAATAAAACTAAAGAGCATAGTAAAAGAAACTATCAGTCAATTGCTAGCAGGATGGCCGAATAGGAACAGCTCCGGTCTGCAGCTCCCAACGAGATTGATGCAGATGGCAGGTGATTTCTGCATTTCCAACTGAGGTACCTAGTTCATCTCACTGGGACTGGTTGGACAACCACAGAGGGCAAGCCAAAGCAGGGTGGGGCGTTGCCTCATCCGGGAAGTGCAAGGGGTTGGGGGATTTTTCTCCCCTACCCAAGGGAAGCCTTACGGAACTGAATCCAAGGAACAATGCACACTCCAGCCCAGATATTGCCCTTGTCCCACGGTCTTTGCAACCTGCAGACCAGGAGATTCCCTTCGGTGCCTACCCCACCAGGGCCCTGTGTTTCAAGCACAAAACTGGGCGGCCGTTTGGGCAGACACAGAAGTAGCTGCAGGAGTTGTTGTTGTTGTTTTTTTCCCATACCCCAGTGGTGCCTGGAACGCCAGTGAGACAGAGCCGTTCATTCCCCTGGAAAGGGGTGCTGAAGCCCCAGGAAGCCAAGTGGTCTGGATCGGCGGGTCCCACCCCCATGGAGCCCAGCAAACTAAGATCCACTGGCTGGAAATTCTCGCTGCCAGCACAGCAGCAGTCTGAGATTGACCTGGGATGCTCGAACTTGGTGGGGGGAGGGGTGTCCGCCATTGCTGAGGCTTGAGTAGGCAGTTTTTTGCTCACACTGTAAACAAAGAAGCCAGGAAGTTTGAACTGGGTGGAGCCCACTGCAGCTCAGCAAGGCTGCTGTGGCCAGACTGCCAGATTTCTCCTGTCTGAGCAGGGCATCTCTGAAAAAAAGGCAGCAGCCCCAGTCAGGGATTTATAGATAAAACCCCCATCTCCCTGGGACAGAGCACCTGGAAGGGAAAGCTTTGGGTGCAGCTTCATTAGACTTAAACATCCCTGCCTGACAGCTCTGAAGAGAGCAGCGGACCTCCCAGCACAGCATTTGAGCTCTGCTAAGGGTCAGACTGCCTCCTCAAGTGGGTCCCTGACCCCCCGTGTATCCTGACTGGGAGACATCTCCCAGTAGGGGCCGACAGACACCTCGTACAGGAGAGCTCTGGCTGGCATCTGGCAGGTGCCCCTCTGGGACAAAGCTTCCAGAGGAAAAACAGGCATCAATCTTGGCTGTTCTGCAGCCTTCGCTGGTGATACCCAGTCAAACACGGTCTGGAGTGCACCTCCAGCAAACTCCAGCAGACCTGCAGCAGAGGCCTGTTAGAAGGAAAACTAATAAACAGAAAGGAATAGAACTCTCCACCCCAAATCAACAGAATATACATTCTTCTCAGCACCTCATCGTACTTATTCTAAAATTGACCACATAATTGGAAGTAAAACCCTCCTCAGCAAATGAAAAATCATAACAGTCTCTCAGACCACAGAGCAATCCAATTAGAACTCAGGATTAAGAAACTCACTCAAAACTGCACAACTACATGGAAACTGAACAACCTGCTCCTGAATGACTACCAGGTAAATAATGAAATGAAGGCAGAAATAAAGATATTATTTGAAACCGATGAGAACGAAGACACAACGTACCAGAATCTCTGGGACACATTTAAAGCAGTGTGTAGAGGAAAATTTAAACACTAAAAGCCCACAAGAGAAAGCAGGAAAGATCTAAAATTGACACCCTAACATCACAATTAAAAGAAGTAGAGAAGTAACAGCAAATAAATTCAAAAGCTAGCAGAAGACAAGAAATAACTAAGGTCAGAGCAGAACTGAAAGCGATAGAGACATGAAAAACCCTTTGAAAAATCAATGAATCCAGGAGCTGTTTTTTTTTTTTTTAAAGATCAACAAAATAGATAGACTGCTAGCCAGACTAATAAAGAAGAAAAGAGAGAAGAATCAAATAGATGCAATAAAAAATAATACAGGGGATATCACCACTGATTCCACAGAAATACAAACTACCATGAGAGAATACTATAAACACCTCTACGCAAATAAACTAGAAAACCTAGAAGAAATGGATAAATTCCTGGACACATACAACTTCCCAAGTCTAAACCAGGAAGAAGTCGAATCCTTCAATAGACCAATAACAAGTTCTGAAATTGAGGCAGTAATTAATAGCCTACCAATCAAAAAAAGTCCAGGAACAGACAGATTCACAGGTAAATTTTACCAGAGGTATAAAAAGGAGGTGGTACCATTCCTTCTGAAATTATTCCAAACAATAGAAAAAGAGGGAATCCTCCCTAACTCATTTTATGAGGCCAGCATCATCCTGATGCCAAAACCTGGCAGACACAACAAAAAAGGAAAATTTCAGGCCAGTGTCCCTGATGAACATTGATGCAAAAATCCTCAATAAAATACTGGCAAACTGAATCCAGCAGCACATCAAAAAGCTTATCCACCACAATCAGGTTGGCTTCATACCTGAGATGCAAATCAACATATGCAAATCAATAAATGTAATCCATCACATAAACAGAACCAGTGACAAAAACCACATGATTATCTCAATAGATGCAGAAAAGGCCTTCGACAAAATTCAACAGCCCTTCATGCTAAAAACTGTCAATAAACTAGGTATCAATAGATGTATCTCAAAATAATAAGAGCTATTTATGACAAACCCATAGCCAATAGCATACTGAATGGGCAAAAACTGGAAGCATTCCCTTTGAAAACTGGCACAAAACAAGGATGCCCTCTCTCACCACTCCTATTCAACATAGTATTGGAAGTTCTGGTCGGGGCAATCAGCAAGAGAAAGAAAGAAAGCATATTCAGACGGGAAGAGAGGAGGTCAAGTTGTCTCTGTTTGCAGAAGACATGATTGTATATTTAGAAAACCCCATTATCTCAGCCCAAAATCTCATTAAGCTGATAAACAACTTCAGCAAAGTCTCAGGATACAAAATCAATGTGCAAAAATCACAAGCATTCCTATACACCAATAACAGACGAATAGCCAAATCATGAGTGAACTCCCATTCACACTTGCCACTAAGAGAATAAGATACATAGGAATACAACTTACAAGGGATGTGAAGAACCTCTTCAAGGAGAACTACAAACCACTGCTCAACAAAATAAGAGAGGACACAAACAAATGGAAAAACATTTCACACTCATGGATAGCAAGAATCAGTATTGTCAAAATGGCCATACTGCCAAAAGTAATTTATAGATTCAATGCTATCCCCATCAAGCTACCATTGACTTCCTTCACAAAATTTGAAAAAGCTACTTTAAACATCATATGGAACCAAAAAAGAGCCCGCATAGCCAAGACAATCCTAAGCAAAAAGAACAAAGCTGGAGGCATCACACTACCTGACTTCAAAATATACTACAAGGCTACAGTAACCAAAACAGCATGATACTGGTACCAAAACAGATATATAGACCAATGGAACAGAACAGAGGCCTCAGAAATAACACCACACATTTACAACCATCTGATCTTTGACAAATCTGATACAAATAAGCAATGGGAAAAAGATTCCCTATTTAATAAATGGTGCTGGGAAAACTGGCTAGCCATATGCAGAAAACTGAAACTGGACCCCTTCCTTACACCTTAAACAAAAATCAACTCAAGATGGATTAAAGACTTAAACATAAGACCTAAAACCACAAAAACCCTAGAAGAAAACCTGGGCAATACCATTCAGGACATAGGCATGGGCAAGGACTTCATATCTAAAACACCAAAAGCAATGGCAACAAAATCCAAAATTGACAAATGGGATCTAATTAAACTAAAGAGCTTCTGCACAGCAAAAGAAACTATCATTAGAGTGAACAGGCAACCTACAAAATGGTAGAAAATTTTTGCAATCTATCCATATGAGAAAGGGCTAATATCCAGAATCTACAAAGAACTTAAACACATTTACAAGAAAAAAAACAAACAACCCCATTAAAAAGTGGGCAAAGGATATGAACAGACACTTCTCAAAAGAAGACATTTATGCAGCCAACAAACATACGAAAAAATGCTCATCATCACTGGTCATTAGAGAAATGCAAATCAAAACTACAATGAGATGCCATCTAACACCAGTTAGAATGGCAATCATTAAAAAGTCAGGAAACAACAGTTGCTGGAGAGGATGTGGAGAAATAGGAATGCTTTTATACTGTTGGTGGGAGTGTAAATTAGTTCAACCATTGTGGAATTCAGTGAGGGAATTCTTAAGGATCTAGAACTAGAAATACCATTTGACTCAGCAATCCGATTACTGGGTATATACCCAAAGGATTATAAATCATTCTACTATAAAGACACACGCACACGTATGTTTATTGTGGCACTATTCACAATAGCAAAGACTTGGAACCAACCCAAATGTCCATCAATGATAGACTGGATTGAGAAAATGTGGCACACATACACCTTGGAATATTATGCAGCCATAAAAAAAGATGAGTTCATGTCCTTTGCAGGGACATGATGAAGCTGGAAACCATCATTCTCAACAAACTATCACAAGAACAGAAAACCAAACACTACATGTTCTCACTCATAAGTGGGAGTTGAACAAGGAGAACACATGGACACAGGGCAGGGAACATCACCCACCAGGGACTCTCAGGGGGTAGGGAGCTAGGGGAGGGATAGCATTATGATAAATACCTAATGTAGGTGATGGGTTGATGCCTGCAGCAAACCACCATGACACGTTTACACATATGTAACAAAACTGCATGTTCTGCACATGTACCCCAGAACTTAAAATATTAAACACACACACACACACAAAACAAAACAAAAGAAAAAGAAAAAGAAACTGTCAACACAATAAACAACCTACAGAATGGGAGAAAATAGTCACAAATATTTGTCAGAAAAAAAATCTGACAAAGATCCAATATCCAGAATCTATAAGGAACTTAAACAACCCAACAAGCAAAAAAACAAACAACCCTGTTAACAATTGGGCAAAAGACATGAACAGACACTTCTCAAAACAGACATACAAGCAGCTAACACATATACAAAAAATGTTGCACATCACTAATTATCTGTGAAGTGCAAATGAAAACCACAGTGAGATAACATCTCACGCCAGTCAGAATGGCTATTATGAAAATGTTCAAAAACAACAGATACTGGCAAGACCATGGAGAAAAGGGAATGCGTATACACTGTTGGTGGGAATGTAAATTAGTTCAACCACTGTGGAAAGCTGTTTGGAGATTTCTCAAAGAACTTAAAACAGAACTGCCATTTGATTCAGCAATCCTATTACTGGGTATATATATTCAAAAGAAAACAAGGCACTCACATGTTCATCACAGCAGTATTCATAATAGGAAAGACATGGAATCAAACTAGGTGCCCACCAACAGTGGATTGAACAAAGAAAATGTAGTACATATACACCATAGAATATTACACAGCCATAAAAAGAATGAAATCACATCCTTTGCAGCAACATGAACAGAGCTGGAGACCATAATCCTAAGCGAATTAATGCCAAAAGCAATTTCAACAAAAACAAAAATTGACAAATGAGATCTAATTAAACTACAGAGCTTCTGCACAGCAAAAGAAACTATCAACAGAGTAAACAGACAACCTACAGGATGGGAACAAATCTTTGCAAACTATGCATCTGAAAAAGGTCTAATATCTAGCATCTATAAGGAACTTAAATTTACAAGAAAAAAGAAAACAATCTCATTAAAAAGTTGGCAAAGGACATGAACAGACACTGCTTAATAGAAGATATAAATGTGACAAACAAGCATATGAAACAAGCATATGAAAAAAATCTCAACATCACTGATCATTAGAGAAACGCAAATCAAAACCACAATAAGATACTATCTCACACCAGTCAGAATGGCCATTATTCAAAAGTCAAAAAAGATGTTGGTGAGGTTGTGGAGAAAAAGGAAGATTTATACATTGTTAGTGGGCATGTAAATTACTTCAACCATTGCGGAAGATGGTGTGGTGATTCTTCAAAGGCCTAAAGACAGAAATACCAATGGGATAGACCCAGCAATTCCATTACTGGTTATATACCCCAGGGAATATAAACCATTCTATTATAAAGACACATGGATGTGTATGTTCACTGTAGCACTATTCACAATAGTAAAGACATGGAATCAACTTAACTGCCTATCAATGATGGATTGGATAAAGAAAATGTAGTACATACACACCATGGAATACTATGCAGCCATAAAAAGGAACAAGTTCATGCTCTTTGCAGGGACATGGATGTAGCTGGAGGCCATTATCCTTAGCAAACTAACACAGGAACAGAAAACCAAACACCACATGTTCTCACTTAAAAGTGAAAGCTAAATGATGAGAACTCATGGACACATGAGAGGGGAACAACACACACTGGGACCTAGTTGAGAGTGGAGGTTAGGAGGAGGGAGAGGATTGGGAAAAATAACTAATGGGTACTAGGCTTAATACCTGGGTGATGAAACAATCGGTGCAACAAACCCACATGACACAAGTTTACCTATGCAACAAACCTGCACATATACCCCTAAATTTAAAATAAAAGTTAAAAAACAGGCCGGGCACGGTGGCTCACGCCTGTAATCCCAGCACTTTGGGAGGCCGAGGTCGGTGGATCACAAGGTCAGGAGATCGAGACCATCCTGGCTAACATGGTGAAACCCCGTCTCTACTAAAAATACAAAAAATTAGCTGGGCGCGATGGCGGGCGCCTGTAGCCCCAGCTACTCGGGAGGCTGAGGCAGGAGAATGGTGTGAACCCAGGAGGCGGAGCTTGCAGTGAGCCGAGATAGTGCCACTGCACTCCAGCCTGGGCGAAAGAGCGAGACTCCGTCTCAAAAAAAAAAAAAAAGTTAAAAAACAAAACACAATAAAAACAGTGCTGTAATAGAGAGTCTTGTAAGTGACTCCTTTTATGCCTGTGCAAGAGTTTATCTTGGTAGGAGTGAAATTTACAGGTTATAGGATAATGGCTGTTTAAGTTTTCAAGTTGTTGCAAACCTGTTTTACAGTGGTTGTGTCAAATGACACTCCTGTTAGCAATAGAGCTTTTGATCTCATTTCTTGCAACAGTTAATACTATCTAATTACTTGGAATATTCAAGAATTCAGAGAATGTTGTTGATGTGAATTCTTCTTAAGAAAACTAGGGGAAAAACTAACCAATCATGAATGACCAGGGAAACCTCAACAAAAGGACTTCTCATGGGCATCAAATATATCTACCTGTAAGCTATAAGATGAAAACAATGGGGAAAATAAAGGTGACAGAATAGAATGAAAGTGATATAAGATTTGACGACATAAAACTTTTTTAAAAAGCAAAGATGGGGAAAGAAAAGGTGGAGGAAAGAATAAGCTCGCTAGTTGCTTCATCAATTATACCTGGCAAACAAGAGATAAATCAAGTTGAAAAATCAAGCTTTAGAAGTATAGCATACTTAACAATACAAAAGTAAACACTAAGAAAGACAGTATTATCAACTAAAATTGTATATTTGAGGGGAGGGATGAAGAGGGAAGAAAAGAATATAAGTTAATTTTAATGCTAATTACATTAAGAAAATTATAGATATAATTTTTTTTTTTTTTTTTTTTGAGATGGAGTCTCACTCTGTCACCAGGCTGGAATGCAATGGTGCAATCTCGGCTCACTGCAACCTCCGCCTCCTGGTTTTAAGCGATTCTCCTGCCTCGGCCTCCCAAGTAGCTGGGATTACGAGTGCGTGCCACCATGCCCACCTAATTTTTGTATTTTTAGTAGAGATGGGGCTTCACCATGTTGGCCAGGATGGTCTCCGTCTCCTGACCTCATGATCTGCCCGGCTCAGCCTCCCAAAGTGCTGGGATTACAGGTGTGAGCCACCGCACACAGCCAAATTATAGATAATTCTAAAGAAAGAAGAGAATAGGCTGGATATGGTGGCATGCATCTGTGGTCCTAGCTACTCAGAAGGCTGAGGTGTGAGGATCGCTCGAGCCCTCGAGGTCAAGGCCGCAGTGAGCCAAGATTGTGCCACTGCACTGCAGCCTGGGCAACAGAGCAAGACCCTGTCTCAAAAAAAAAAAAAAAAAGAAAGAAAGAAGAAGAAGGAAGGAAGAAGGAAGAGGAGGAAGAGGAAGAAGAGAAGGAGAAGAAAGAAGAGGAAGAAGAAGACCACGATGAGGAGGAGGAGGAGGAGGAAGATGATGATTATGGTGTAATATGCAGCCACTAGAACAAAAAAGAGAGAGAGAGACCACAAAGGAGAGACTTTTTAAATGTTACACATGTAAGACTATAGAACTATAATTGACCATACCAATGAATGTAGGTAAGTCTTTTACCTAGTAAAAGAAAAGACATTTTCAGATTGAGTCACAAATCTATGTCACAAACCCAATTCCTATGCTATTCACAAGTCAGGTTGATGTATTGTGCACTTAAAAATTTGTTGAGGGTAGATTTCATGTTAAACATTCATACAAAATCCACTAAAAAAAAGAGATAGGCACAAGGGAACTTTGAGGTGATAGAAATGTCTATTACCTTGATTGTGGTGGTGGTTTCATGGGTGTATGCATATGTACAAACTCATCAAATTGTATTTAAATATGTACAATTCTTTGTATATCATTTATATCACAATGAAGCTGTTTTTTAGAGTGGCACCTTGAAAGCAAAATTATTCAAAAAAGTTAAAAATAAAAAGATGAACCAAAACATATGAGAAAAGTGCAAAACAAAAAGAAAGTGGTGTTTATAATACAGCATGACAGAAGGCAGAATTCAAGCTAAAAAGATACCATAAATATATAAAGGCACTTTATAATGCTAATGAATACAAACCAAAACGAAGATATAACAGTGATAAATATCTCTATACTAAACAATGTGGCAGTGATGTTGATGAAACAGAAATCACGGGAGGCACAAGGAGAGACAGATGGAAACAGCAGTAGGAGACTTTATTTCATTTCTCTCAGTCCAACTCAGACCAAATGGGCAAAAATAAGAACACACATAAAAAGACAAACAATATAATACATTAGGTATATTTCTGCTTCTGGACATGCTGGAATTCATAGCAGCAAACTGCTCACACTGAGAACAATTACAAAACCCTGATACATTTTTTTAAAATCATATTTTCTAATGTATCAGAGAACTGCAAAAGTAAATGATACTAGAGGGACTGAAATTCCAGGGACTAATTTTATAAATGAGTTGAGAATCTGCAGCTGCCTTCTCCAGGAGATATTTGCCAATTCTGGGCACTGGCTAGAGTCAGAGGATCTGGTCTTGGTCTGGACAGAGGGTCTCTGCTGGAGAGACATAAAAACTAACACAGCTTTGGGTGGTCATTTAAAACCTGGTTTGACAAAATTGGAAACCTGAGAGCTGGTCTCCCTTCTCAAGGCATTCAGCTAATTCCAAAGATGTACACAGTGGGAGATTAAAGTGTTAAGCTGAAAACCTCTGAAAGACAGGACAGAAATTCCCACAGTCCATTGGCGCTGAGACCACAAAGACCCACCTATCTCTGAACTAAAAACTCTGAAGGGACACACACTAGGTATTGGAGCACACACAGGATGAGCCATGAAATCTTTCCAAAACTGCCATTTAACCTCAACTCAGCTCAGTCCCTGACTGGATTAAAATGAGTTTTCCCTTTCTTCTACTCTATTTCTTAGCAAAGAAAAACTTGAACTTTCTCTGTTGAATGGCATCATCAACAGGAACCTCTTTTTTTTTTTTTTTTGAGCAATTTCCAGTATTGAATGAAAAATTACTGGCATGCAAAGATAAGAACTGTGTGACTAGTAACCAAGAAAAACAAACAGTACAAAAGGGCTTGTTACAATTAGCCTGTCATGGTCATGTGTGCTTGTAATCCCAGCTACTCAGGAGGCTGAGGAGGAAGGATTACTTGAGCCCAGGAATTCGAGGTTGCAGTGAGCCATTATTATGGCACTGCACTCCCAACCTGGGTGACAGAATGAGACCCCATCTTAAAAAAGGGAAAGGGGTGTTGTTAAGGAGGAGATCTATGCAGAGTTTTCCCTAAATACATCTTGGAAATAGGGACAGAGGATGCAGACAAGCATTTGGCAGTTGACAGAGCTCCCGAATCCCCACCGCCAGCTTCCATCCTATCCTGCACCACCCTGAACTACCAGGAGTGCTGGCCACTTGTAGATTCCCACCTCCCAGGGACAAGACCCACTTTGCCCTTCTAAACTGCTTTCCCTCATAGCCTAGCAGAAGGGAAAAAAAATTGTATTCACAGTAGGAACTGATACAGGCTTAGAGACAAAAAAGAAGCCTAGTCCAAAATCCCATCCCCACCCCTGTCAGCAGTTTCCCAGGCAACTAGTTTCAAAGTTTTTAACTTTCCTTTACCCATTGAGGAGAGTTCTAAGTGCCCTCTTTTTCAATTCCTTCTTGATTGTGGTTTTCTGAAAATGTTATAGCATAGCCTGAGGCACAGCTGCACTATTTTTCAAGAACAAAGCTCCCTTTGAAGAATAGAGCATTTTTATGAATATAAAATAACATAGCTTGGGTTAAAAAATTAAGTAAAATAATTTTTGCATAACCACCCTCTTTTTCTTCTCTCCCTGTTTTTTTTTTTTTTTTTTCAACTTTTAAGTTCAGGAGTACATGTGCCAGGTGTGCAGGTTTCTTACACAGGTAAACCAGGGCCATGGTGGTTTCCTGCACAGATCATCCCGTCACCTAGGTATTAAGCCCAGCATCCATCAGCCATTCTTCCTGATGCTCTCCCTCCCCGACCCCTCCCTCCGACAGGCCCCAGTGTGTGTTGTTGCCTCCCTCATCATTCAACTCCCACTTATAAGTGATAACATGCAGTGTTAGTTTTCTGTTCCTGCATTAGTTTGCTGAGGATAACGGCTTCCAACTCCATCCACGTCCCTGCAAAGGACATGATCTTATTCGTTTTTATGGCTGCATAGTATTCCATGGTGTATATGTACCACATTTTCTTTATCCAGTCTATCACTGATGGGTATTTGGGTTGATTCCATGTCTTTGCTATTGTGAATAGTGCTGCAATGAGCATATGCGTGCATGTATCTTTATAAAGAATGATTTATGTTCCTTGAGGTATATACCCAGTAATGGTATTGCTGGGTTGATCCCATTGGTATTTCTGTCTTTAGGTCTTTGAGGAATTGCCACACTGTCTTCCACAATGGCTGAACTAATTTACGCTCCCACCACCAGTGTAAAAGCGTTCCTTTTTCTCTGCAACCTCGCCAGCATCTGTTGTTTTTTGACATTTTAATAATAGCCATTCCGACTGGCATGTTCTCTCCCTGTTTTTAATGCTAAATTACAAGGTAAAAAAGAAAAAAAAAATCCTAAGAATAAAGACAATTTTCCTTTTACACAACGTCATGCTCACGATTAGAGGGTGTAACTCACCAAGGCAGCCAGGTCTTCCTCTACAAATCCCTGTTCTATAGACAAAGAAACTCCTACCCAGTCAGTGTCAAAACGCAGAAACTCAGACTTCCTCAACTTCTGCTGTCTGAAAAATCACATTTTTTCTGCTAAACAGCTTTGTGTAATACTTAATTAGTAATATCTAATACTGAAAATAATATTCTATAAAACAGAGTCATTTTGTTATTGGCTCATCTTCTGAAAAAAGAATGTGAAACTGCACCTCAGTAGCACCATGACACTTTGGTTTAATTTCTTAAACCAAAAATATTATCACTTACCTTTTCCTCTTTGGTTCTGATTTTCACGAAAATCAAAACATAGAAACTGGCAGTTTTCTAAGAGTCTCAATTCACAAAGTCCATCTGAAATTTTGGAAACTAAAATAAAGATAAGCAAATGATTGGTATCCTCAAGCTGTTTTTTTGAACTGCTCTGTCAGGCTGATAGCAGCCTTTAACTTCCAAAGCTATCAACCCCTCAAATACTTTTTTATGTCTAAAATATTTAAATTAAAAAATTCAAGTCACCTTGCAGCAGTCTTCCTAGCTTGCTCATTATGAACAAATTTCTTCCATCCCTTTTCTCTCCACTGCATTTTGAGTTCATAGAGTAAGGTGCGCTAACAAGTGGATGATTAAGTCAACTTCATTTTCTGCCCTTTGGGGCTGTAAGGATGATCTCCTATTGGCTATGTTCTATAGTTACTGAGAAAAGTGATAGATAATCAAGTCCGAAAATAACAAGTGCTGACTACAAGTGCTCACAAGTCCCACCTACTGTGTGTTCAGCACAAAGCAGAGCCCTGGGGCAAGGGTGGGTGGGGAGAAGCGCAAAGGAAAAATATGGCATCTCCGGCATCAGCCCCACCACAGTGACCACCACCCCTACCTCCCAATATGCACATACACACAAAGCCTTCGGGAGTGTGTAGGTTAGGAGAGTTTTTCAGCAGAAGGATTTGACTTGTTCCCAGCCTTCCCAATGATGACAACATGACTTATGCCATTATCTGCTGTTTCCTCATCTACTCTTCTCCTTCTATCTGTTGCTTCTTTTATATCAGATAGTCAAAATACTCAGGGTGAACCAGACTAAGAACTATTCCATCTCTAAAATTCTAGTAGATATTTAATAAGTTTAGCATGTATAGCTAGTATGTTTCTAATATAAATTAAATTTTCAGATAGGAGTAAAAGGAAATAAAGAGATACTGAAAGAAAAATTAGAAAATGGAAGATAAATGAGAATGATAAAGTACAAAACCTTGTTAAAAATGGTATCAATGACCTTTAAAAGGTATGTTGGTTCATAAATGCTCTTTTTAAAGGCAAGAAACAACATACCAAGGGTTTAAAATTCCAGAATGTTTTACAGAGTATCAAGAAATGTGTATGGGCAAAAATACTTTTTGATGGTCTCGATCTCCTGACCTCGTAACACGGTGAAACCCTGTCTCTACTAAAAATCCAAAAAATTAGCCAAGCGTGGTGGCGGGCGCCTGTAGTCCCAGCTACTCGGGAGGCTGAGGCAGGAGAATGGCATGAACCCGGGAGGCGGAGCTTGCAGTGAGTCAAGATCACGCCACTGCACTCCAGCCTGGGCGACAGAGCAAGACTCCGTCTCAAAAAAAAAAAAAAAAAAAATTACTTTTTGAAATACAGGAGACAAGAATTGGTCTGTCCAGAATTAGTAACAGAGAATGAAGGTGGCCCCCGGCTGAAGACAAACAGCCCAGTCCCCCTCCCCTGCTTGCCCAGTGTGCACAGCCAAGGCAGAAGCTGGCCACGGCCCTGCTCACGGTCATATTCTTCTGTGGTGACTTTTAGACGTCCTTTCTTCTCGATCTCTGGTGACTTCTGCACATTTCTACAGCTCTCAAAAGAGGAAATTATGCAAAGGCAATTCACTCCATTTTTAAGACATTCTCTTTCATATATATATGTTTTTAAATTCTATACTTAAACTTTGCTTTAAAAGGGCCATAAATTAATACCCCAAGGACCATATTTACAATTGTGTAGAAAGCATGCAGTGGAAAATATATTCACCATAAAGAAATGCACTTTACAGCATTTAAAAAACATGTTTCCTTAAGATATACTGTTAATCATGATATAGTACAACTGGACCATGTTGATTTCATTCCCTTGCAAAATCTCTTAGAGGTTCTGTTAAACCTGATTGACAGCACAACCCATTACTCTAATTTACTGGTTCTCTGCATGGCAGAATAAAATTAACAGTGTCACCATTGCCAAGCCACAGCTCAACAGAAGATCTGAGGAGCCAAAAGCCTGTGTTATTATATGAGCAATTCTCTTCTTGTCTTTAAAGCCCACAGTGAATTCTAAACCCAGAAGTCTCTGAAAAGCAGATTTCTAAGTTGAATATAAACATGAGATGGCAAAAATCGAACCCAAGGGCAGAAGGCATGCCAGGCTTATGAATACTCCCAAATGATTCTGAGAAAGCTTTGCGGCAGTGCAAGTTTATCATGAACTTTAAACTGATCTATTGAACCGTCTCAGTTGCGTGACTTAGTAGAGCTGACCCACTGAGTAACAGACACATCCGTTACTACAAATGAGCATATTAACAAGTATAACTCAAGATAATGCCTGAATATGTGAGAAATTCATTCAGCCACAGCTGCAAATGGGGTTTTATGACCATATAAATATAACCTATAAATTAGATCATGCCTTTTCATTTGTAGAAAGTTTTACATATTAAAAAAATAAAGCTGGCTAAAAATAAAAATGATAATCCCTGAGAACAAAGGCATAACATCTGTAAACAGATGCAAACTGAATCTAAGCTACAGATTGTCATATCTGTTTTTAAATGTAGCTTAGTTTGAAAGCAGACAACTGAGACCATTTTAGGAAAACTCAGTTATCATATTCACTTTTGAATTTCACCCTATCATTGAATTTTGGGGTGAGGAGCGGTCTTGGAGATTGCCTAGTTCTGCTTCATATGAGATGTCTGCATTGCCTCTCCTGTGTTCTTGTATGGACAAGGCCTGATTGTTCTCCTAGCAGTTCAGTGTGCGTTGCCTTTATTTATATTGCAAAGCATAGGAGAGTGTATGGGACCCTAGGTTAGAAGAAAGACACTATTTCAGATAACACAAACACTCCATTCTGTAGCCCCCAAATAAACAGAAGTAAAGGCTTCTGCCTCACTTGTCAAAATGAGAAATCAGTGTTTTCACACTCATGCTGGAAATCATGTTTATCCTTTGTTTTCTGTTCAATTTCTATTTTTAATGATCTTTCCCTTGCTCTCTTCTTCACTATGCTTTTACCCCAATATTTCTCATAGTTTCTACATTTTCACAAGTTACTAAATATTGGAGCTTTCTGAGCTTTGTGTGATATTTTACCCCAAATAATAGCTTTTTAAAATGGAATATGTATCTTTAAGCAGGCCACTTCCAAAGATAAACAGCAACAAGAGATAGAAATGATGTTAGAAGGCATGTCAACTTTTATTTGCCGACAGACTTCTCCCTTAGAAAAGAGATGGGAAGCAGGCCGGGTGCGGTGGCTCAAACCTGTAATCTCAGCACTTTGGGAGGTCGAGGAAGGTGGATGGCCTGAGCTCAAGAGTTTGAGACCACCCAGGGCAACATGGTGAAACCCCGTCTCTACTAAAAATGCAAAAAAAATTAACCAAGTGTGGTGGTGCATGCCTCTATTCCCAGCTACTTGGGAGGCTGAGGCCAGAGAATCACTTGAGCCCCCAGAAGCAAAGGTTGCATGAACCGAGATCGTGCCACTGCACTCCAGCTTGGGCTACAGAGTGAGACACTGTCTCAAAAAAAAAAAGAAAAGAGAGGGGAAATTAAAAAGCTGTTTTTCATGAGCTGATTGAAACATCTGACTCCGAGACGATTTCTATACCCACAAGATGTATGATTTTAGAAGACTGTAAACTCTATCTTCCCAGGCTGCTCAGGAAGATGCTATCTCAGGCCCAGCATGGTGGCTCGCACCTGTAACCCCAGCAATTTGGGACACCAAGGCAGAAAGATCACTTGAGCTCAGGTGTCCAAGACCAGCGGGCCAACATGGCAAAACCCTTTCTCTACTAAAAATACAAAAATTAGCCAGGCATGGTGGTGTGAGCCTGTAATCCCAGTTACTCAGGAGGCTAAGGCAGGAGAATAGCTTGAACCCAGGAGGCGGAAGTTGCAGTGAGCTAAGATCACACCACTGCACTCCAGCCTGGGCAACAGAGTGAGACTCTGCCAAAAAGAAAAAAAAAAGATGCTCTCTCTTATCGAGAGGTGGTCTGTGTCCCCTCCTTTTGAATTTGGGATGGCCTTGTGACTCATCTTGGCCAACAGGATGCCTAAGTGGCATTGTGTGACTGTTGAAGCTGGGCTATGGAGAAGCCCCCTACAAGCATCCATGTCTGCTTTCTTGGAACACAGTCATTGCCGGGTGAAGGAGTCCAGCCTAGCTTCCTTGAAGACGAATGTTCAAATAGAGAGGCCCAGCATGCAAGCTAAGCCCAGTCCTCCATCAACTTGCCAGGTGACTGCAGCCACATGAGTGACCACAGGCAAGCCCAGCAGCAGTATCCAACCAACCCACAAAACCCTAAGAAATAATAAATCGTTGTTTTAAGCCATAAATTTTGGAGTAGTTATGCAATAAAGGCTGAAATAGGGGTGGGGTGCTATTATACCAAACAAAAAAACTAAACATATGGTATCAGGTAACTATTAGAAACTGGAGAGAGGATGGCCCACATTCTGTAGGAGAGGAAAAATCGGTAAAACTGTTGCCCATGGTAACTCAGAAGGTTAAGAAATCCACCTAATAAACTTGTGAGTCTGGCAAAGGGGATTTAAAAGCAAAATTTGGGAGAATCAGTTGGCTTTTTTTTTTTTAAGCTGTGTATGATGCAGCATGGAAAGAAAAAGATAAACAAAAGAATTGTTCAGTTTGCAAGTCAAATTTAGAGAAAAAAGAGCTAGGGTGTTCTAGATCAGGAAAGAAAACTGTTCAGTATTTCTAATATCTCCAATCAGCAAAACATCATCAAAATAAGAGATGACCTTAGTGTTGAATTAAAGATGTGGCTGGTGGTAAGATCTTTTGTTGTTTTTTGTTTTTTGTTTTTTTTTGAGACAGAGTCTCGCTCTGTCGCCCAGGCTGGAGTGCAGTGGCGCAATCTCGGCTCCCTGCAAGCTCCGCCTCCTGGGTTCACGTCATTCTCCTGCCTCAGCCTCCTGAGTAGCTGGGACTACAGGTGCCCACCATCACGCCCAGCTAATTTTTGTATTTTTAGTAGAGACGGGGTTTCACTGTGTTAGCCAGGATGGTCTCGATCTCCTGACCTTGTGATCCACCCGCCTCAGCCTCCACAGTGCTGAGATTACAGGCATGAGCCACCATGCCCGGCCAAGATCTTTTGTTAAGACATCAGATTTAAGGGAACACGTAGCAGACATTTCTCAGCAAGGTAAAAGGATTTCTAAGAACCTTAAAACATTGTCTCACCTGTGGGACAAATTAGAGAGGTTTGTCTCAAAAAGAATTATGGCTTTGGGGTATGGAGTAAACCCCAATAAGACACGCAGCAAACCCACACAGTTTCTGAGATTATTATATTGGTGAGAGCACCACTGGTTTGAATTAGAAGGGACAAAGACCATTCACAATGAAGAGAGTTTGGGGCTAAATTTTTTATAGTTGGTAAACAAGCTGGGAAGTCTACTCAGCTACAAAGATGGGCCATTTTTATTGAAAAGGAAAAACATCTCGGAAGGCAGAACCCAAATATCACAGCAGAGCCAAAAGCTGGGAAAAAAAAAAAACAGGACTAGACAATCACTCCAAGGAAGCAAAGTGAGTTCTCATCAAGTATTCCCTGTCACCAAAGGAATGGGTCCTGGCAATGTGTGTCCAGATAGATTTCAAAATTCCTACAGGCTAATCATTGCTAAGTACCTTCCATTCCTCACATTTTTAAAATGAGAATATCTATGTGAATATTCTCTCTCTGCCTCACCTTTGTGTGTTGGATGGAAGTGAGGAGGGCAGCAAACTTCTTTTAGTTCTCTGGTGTCTGCGTCAAGAAGAACACATACTGCTTTTGGACCTAATGCAGACAGATTATAAAATAATGGATTTTGAGTATGATGCCATAACTGGATGAGACTTTGGGAGTCTTGGGAAGGGACTTGAATTACTGGGAGAGAATGCAGATTGTGGTATATTTTTACTATAATGGCTCCCAATGAACTACAATATCCTGTGTCCACCTGCTTTTGCAAAGTGACTTTGCCACCCCACCCATCAAGAGGTAGAATCTACTTCTCTACCCCTTTAATCTGAGCTGAACTTGTTTTATTATAATAGAATTTAGCCTAGGCCAGGCACAGTAGCTCACGCTTGTAATCGCAGCAACTTGGGAGGCCAAGGCATGTGGATCACTTGAGCCCAGGAGTTCAAGACCAGCCTGGGCAACATGGTGAAACCCCATCTTTACAAAAAACACAAAAAGTTAGCCTGGCATGGTGCCATGTGCCTGTAGTCCCAGCTACTTGGGAGGCTGAGGTAGGAGGATCACTTGAGCCTGGGAGGCAGAGGTTGCAGTGAGCTGTGATCACGCCACTGCACTTCAGCCTAGGTGACAGAGACCCTATCTCAAAAAAAAAAAAAAAAAATTGAATGCAACCTAAATGATACTGTGACTTCAAAGGCTAGACCATAACAAGTCAGGCAGCTTCTATTTACACTGTCTTGTGAAGTGGCCGTCATCATGTGAAAAACTTTGGTCTTTCTCCTTGAGGATGAATGACTACATGGAGAGAGGGGCCTAGTTGACTCAGATGAGCCCAGCCCCAGGCAATCAAGCAGCTAAATGCAGCTGTGGGAGTGAACCCTGACAATGCCAAAAAAAAAAAAAAAAACACCTGATCAATCCACAGAACAGGGAAGGGGGAAAATTACTTTTTTTTAAGCCCGCAAATTTTGGGGTGATTTGTTATGCAGCAAAAGTGACTGAAACAGTACATAATGAAATGCCTGTTTAATAATAGGTGTCTAATTAATTTCAAATCCCTTTCTTAAATTGTCAGAAGGGCTAATTCCCAAATTTCTGCAGTCATAGTTAAGCCTTACATAGATACAGATAATCTGACCAGCTTTCTCAAGCTTCACAGTGCATAAAAAATTCCTCTTTAGAAACATAAAAAAGAAAAAAATGCTCCATCCTTTACCCTGCCTTATCTCCTCTCAAAGTGGGTTTATGAACGTGTATTAGTTATCCATACTAGCATAACAAATGGTCCCCAAATTTAGCAGCTCAAAACAATAATTATCTGACAGTTTCTGAGAGTCAGGAATCCAGCAGTGACTTAGTTGGGCAATTATGACTCAGAGCCTTCATGAGGTGGTAGTCAAGCCAGGGCTAAGTTTATGAAGACTTGTCAAGGGTTGAAGCATCTACTTCCATGTTGACTCATATGTCTACTGGAAGGAGGCTTCAGTTCCAAATGATGTAGGCCTCTCCACAAAGCTGTTCATGACATGGCTTATGACCCATGACATTAGAGCAAATAGTATCAGATAAAGCACCCAAGAAGGAAATCAGTTTTTCATAACCTAATCTTGGAAGTGACATCCCATAACTTCTCCTGCATGCTTCTAAACTCATAGTCCAACCATAGAACAATGTGAGGGAATTAGTCAAGAGATAGCAAGAATCACAGGGGGCCATCTGGGAGGCTGGATATCACAAGCAAAGAATAATTTATCCGCAGTCACACATCTCTCTAGATGCAAAGTGCTAGTGTGTCTCCTACCTCAGTTAGCGTTCTACGTTCATTGTAAGCAACAGCAGCCAGCTCTAGCTAATTTAAGTAGAAAAGGAACTCAATGAAAGGATCCTAGGTTCTCACAGAACTAAAAGGAAATCTTACAAACAAGGCTCAGAAACTGTCAGGATATTTGCTGAATGATTAAAGAGATATTTGATAAATGAAAATATTACATTTATAATATTTTACATTTGTTTAGATACTATTATAAGAAGTACATTAAACAATCACAGCCTAAGGGATGTAATCAAAATGCAAATTTATTTTTGTTTTCTATTCTCTCTTTAAATTTTATCCACTGGAAAAAGTTTTTCTCTGCTTTTAGATAACAATCCCTAGCAGACCTGAGGATTTTCTGATCATGCTTAGGAAACAAGCCTCAAAATCACTTAATATTTGTAAAACATAATCTTGATTTAGAAATTTAAATGTCCAGCCCAAAATATTAATCAATACTTCAGTCTTCAAAGATGAGAATTCTCCTGCATCTGTCCTCCACCAGTCTGTATATTTACTTTCTATTGTTGCTGTAACAAATTACCACTAACGTAATGGCTTACAACCTACAAATGTATCGTCTTACAGTTCTAGAGGTCAGCAGTCCTAGATGGGTCTCACTGGGCTAAAATGAAGGTGTTGGTAGGTCGACATTTCATCCTGGAGACTCTAGGAGACTGTTTCCTTGCCTTTTCCAGCTTCTAAAGGCTGCCTGCATTTGTTGGCTCACCGTGCCCTTCCTCCGTCTTCAAAATCAGCAATAATGGACTCAGTCCTCAAATCTTGTCACTCCAGCCTTCTCTTCTGCCTCCCTCTCCCACTTTTAAGAAACTCCATGATTACATTGGGTGCATGTAGATAACCCAGGATACTCTCCCTGTTTTAAGATCAGCTGATTAGCAAACTGAATTCTATCTGGAATCTTAATTCCCCTTTGCCATGTAAAGTTACATTTTTACAGTTTCCAAGGATTAGGACGTAGACATCTTTGCGTGTTTGGGGGTCGTGGTTCGGGAGTCACTATTCTGCTTACCGCAGCCTATAATACAGCAGCCAATCACAGGACAACCACTGGTGAGGATTAACACAGTGTGGTGGGATCATGAAACAGCAGAAAGGGAAGTAGCACCACCTGGCAGTGGTGGCTAGTTAAGATTATTCCCTATTTATTAAACCTATGTTGAAAGAAGAGGCTAAAAGCCTAACAAGTGGAGTTATACTGAAAAAGTAAACGATCTGCTTATTTATTTCTGCCTTCAGAGAATCACTTGACTATACTGCCCAGCCACAACCCCATTAATGGTACTTGTGGTACCAAATGTAAAGAGTCTAAAACTTCACTCATTGGAAATATGGTGCCTCACAGCAAAGGTTTCAAATGCAACCCATTTAACTACCAAAATGAAAATTGGTCTTATTCCCCCGAAGTACACAACACCCTCATGAAGAAATAAACACTTCTTGCTGGTACCTATTGATGTTAAATTTCTTGTTTTATTTGAAAATGCTACCAATCCTGACACCACCCAGCTGAGGGTTGTCTGACAGCAGCAGCTGCAAGGAGCTAAAAATTATGAAATTAAATTTGTAGTTTTGATTACTGCGATTGGCCAACACTGGGTTATCTGGTTTGGAAATCTGTGTGTAATACATACATACAACAAATTCTTTATTTTGAAAAAAGTACATAATTTGTATTAATAAAAAAATCAGCTTCTTGCTAAATAGCAACACAAAAGCATATGAAAGTATAAATCTCACTGCTAAGGGTAAATACATAGACAAATACAGAATAATGTAATATTGTAATGGTGGTGCATAAATCACTTTTAACCCCAGCATAAAAGACAAAAGTATTAAGAATATAACCACAAAATATTGGTTAATGGATACACAACATAAAAAGCAAATTCTGACATCAATAACAAACTGGGGAATGGGAGAGTAAAAGTGTAGTTTTTGTATGTGATTGAAGTTATCAGCTCAAAATAGACTGGTACAATTCTAAGGAGGGTTATGCAAGCTTCACAGTAACTACAAAGAAAAAATCTTCAGCAGATACAAGAAAGGGAAAAGAATCCGAGTATATAACCATAAAAAATTATCAAATCACAAAGACAGCAAGAGGGGAAGAGAGGAACAAAAGAACCACAAAACAGAAACCAATGAACAAAATGGCAGTAGTCAGTTCTTACCAATCAATAATTTCTTTAAATGTAAATGTATTAAATTCCCCAATCAAAGATACAGAGTAGCTGAATGGATTAAAAAGCAAGATCTAATTATAGGGTGTCTACAAAAGACTCACTTTAGCTTTAAGGACACACGTAGGCTGAAAGTGAAGGGATGAAACAAGATATATCATGCAAATGGTCACCAAAACAGAGCGTAAGCAGCTTTTCTTATATTAGACAAAAAGACTTCAAGTCAAAAACTGTCACAAGAGACAAAGAAGGTCATTACATAATGATAAAAGGGTCAATTCAACAGGAAGACGTAACAATTATATATGCACCCAACATCAGAGCGCCTATATATATAAAGCACACATTGATAAATATGAAGGGAGAAATAGGAGTAGAATGTATTAGGAGACTTCAATACCCCACTTTCAATAATAGTTCATCCAGACATTAGAGAAATAAAGAAACAGTGGTTTTGAATAACACTATAGGCCAAATGGAGCTAACAGACATGTACGGAACCTTCTACCTAACGGCAGCAGAATAAAAATTCCTCTCAACTGCACATGAAAGATTCTCCAAGATAGATTACATGCAAGGTCACAAAACAAGTTCTGACAAATTTAAGAAGACTGAAATAATTTCAATTATCTTTTTTGACTACAAAGAAATGAAACTAGAAATCAATAAAAGAAAACTGGAAAAATTCACAAATACATGGAAACTAAACAATATATTCAACCATTGGGTCAAAGAAGAAATTTTAAAAATTAGAAGATATTGTGAGACAAACAAAAACATAACATGCCAAAACTTATGGGAGGCGGCAAAAGCAGTGCTGAAATGGAAGTGTATAAATGTCTACATTAAAAAAGTGTATAAATGTCTACATTAAAAAAGATCTCAAACAACCTAACATCATACCTGAAGGAACTAGAAAAAGAAATAAGCCCAAAACTAGCAGAAAGAAGGAAATAATAAAGACTAGAGCAGAAATAAATGAAGACCAGAAAACAAAAGAAAAATCGACAAACTGAAAAGTTTTTTAAAAAAGATAATCAAAATCAACAAACCCTTAACTAAACTAGGAAAAAATAAGATAAAATCAGAAATAGGAGATATAACCAATGCCAAAGAAATTTTTAAAAGGAACTAATATGAACAATTACATGTTAACACATTGGACAACCTAGAAGAAATGAGTAAATTCCTAGAAACATACAAGCTACCAAGATTGAATCAAGAAGAAATAGAAAGCCTGAACAGATCAATAACAAATAAGGAGACTGAATCAGTAATTTAAAACTTTCAATCAAAGAAAAGCCCAGGGACCAATTGGAAGAAGAAACCACTGAATTGGAGGCAGTGAAAAAAGGCAACTGGAGCGTACTTTCCAAGAAGTTGCACACAGTGAGATAGCTGAGGAAGGGCCAAATTACTTAGGGTGGCCAGGTGGCCTCACACTTCCAATTCCAGCTCTTTGTGAGGCCAGGGTGGAAAGATAGTTCAAGGCCAGGAGTTCGAGACAAGCCTGGGCAACATATTGAGTCCCTGTCTCTACAAAAAATTTAAAAAATAGCCAAGCATGGTGGTGCTTGCCTGTACTCCCAGCTACTCAGGAAGCTAATGTAGAATCACTCACTTGACCCCATGAAATCAAGCTGCAGTGAATTGTGATCGCACCATTGCATTCCAGCCTGGGCAACAAAGTGAGACAGCCATAGTTGCCCTTTGTGCTTCTTCCTCAAACATAGTCTATCTACAGAGTATAAGCCATCTCTTTATTTATTGATTTTGCAGCCTTTCTTGCTAGCAGACTGCCTAGAAATTTCCCAATCCACCCAGGCAGCATTTGTACAGCAGTCTCAACGGAGAGAGTAAGGTGGAACAGAAAAGACTGCTATTTAAGGCTCATCTGGAATAATTTTTAATGCACGAAACATTCATGCATACACACACTTGCACGCACATGGTCCTAATACATGGCCAAGTTTCCCTTTTATGCCTGGATTATTCAGTCTCCCTTGCTAAACAGAAAACTGTACTATAATTCATTATATTACTTAATGACAATTTAAAATAACTGTTTTCCTATCGCAAGAACAAAAAACCAAACACCGCATATTCTCACTCATAGCTGGGAATTGAACAATGAGATCACATGGACACAGGAAGGGGAATATCACACTCTGGACTGTGGTGGGGTGGGGGGAGGGGGGAGGGATAGCATTGGGAGATATACCTAATGCTAGATGACGAGTTAGTGAGTGCAGCGCACCAGCATGGCACATGTATACATATGTAACTAACCTGCACAATGTGCACATGTACCCTAAAACTTAAAGTATAATAAAAAAAATAAATAACTGTTTTCTTAGGAATCTTCACTGATTAACAATGTAATGGGTCTTACCATCATGCAAGTACAAGTATGTGCCCCATGACCTTTCAGTCAATAATGGACTACATAAATGACAGTATGCACATAAGAGAATGGAGCTGGAGAATTCCTATCACCTAGTACTTACTATACTTGTTATTTTAGTGCATACTCCTACTTATTAAAAAAGTTAACTGTGAAACAGCCTCAGGTAGGTCCTTCAGTAGGTGTTCCAGAAAGAGGCATTGCTACATAGGAGATGACAGCTCCATACATGTTACTGCCCCTTAAGACCTTCCAGGGGGACAAGATGTGGAGGTGGAAGACAGGGATATTGGTGATCCTGACTCTATGTAGGCCTATGCTAATGTGTGTCTTAGTCGCTAATAAAGTTTAAAAAGTAAACAAATTTTAAAAATAGAAAAAAGCTTATAGAATAAAGATATTTAAAAGGAAAATGTTTTTGTACAGCTGTACAATGTGATTTAAGCTAAGTGTTATTACAAAAGAGCTAAAAAGTTAAAAGTTCACAAGTTACAGTAAGCTAAGATTATTGAAGAAAATTGTTTTATAAATTTAGTGTAGCCTAAGTATACAGTTTTATAAAGTCTACAGTCGTGTGCAGCTGCAGCAATGTCCTAAACATTCATGTTCACTCACCACTCACTCGCTCAAAGCAGCTTTCAGTCCTGCAAGCTCCATTCATGCATTTTTAACTTTTATACCACATTTCTAGTGTACCTTTTGTGTTTAGATACATAATTACTTACCATTGTGTTACAATTGCCTATAGTATTCAGTATAGTACAGTAACATGCTGTACAGGTTTGTAGTCAAGGAGCAATAGGCTATCCCACGTAGCCTAGGTGCGTAGTAAGCTACACCATCTAGGTTTGTGTAAGCAGACTCTAGGATGCTCACACAATAACAAAATGCCCATGAAGCATTTCTAAGAACATATCCATTACCGTATTACCAGTCCAGTTTTGACCAGTAATAATTTGATAGTAGACCCATCAGAAAATTGCACCATTTTAGTGACATCTTCCTTTCCTTCGAGGTCCTGCTGTGGTTGAACGCCCTGTGCCTTTCCAGAGCTCCAACACTCTTCTGTGCGGACCTCCTGGTTCATGAGATGGGCTTTCACTTCCTACTTCTCCCCATGTATTAGCTGTTCCTGATAAGCCCTGGTCACCCTCCCAGACCTACAGTCCACCTTGCTTCAGGTCACCAGGTGTCAGGAAAACATACTGATGGGTTATTATCAACTGCTTAAAGCACCTCCACATTTCAGAAAACATTTCACACACAAAAGTTCAGAATCCTGGGAATCAGTCCGCATTTTATTTTATAGTACATTCATATAAGTTCCTGCATTTCCAAGGTAACCAGGTCACATTCAGGTTAGCACTGCTGGTAACAAAATCATACAACTACCCTGGCTTCAAAAACAAGATAGGGTAATGCACATTAATATCTCTTTCCCTTTAATACTGCAGAAGACAATACATCACAAAATAAAATCTCAAAAATCACATGCCTTTTACAATCCAGTGTGAAGGCATATTATTTATGTTAAAATTAGACCATGTGGAACATGAGAATAAAGAGTTTGAAAGCTCTCTAAAATTTCTCCCAATGCCATCTTTCGCTTCTAACTGCCAGTTGGCACATTCAGCTTCAATGCCTTGGGAAGGGAGGAGCAGAGGAAAGCAGGGGGTCACTGAACTCCAAAACTCATGGTTTTCCAGGCTACTTCTATAGACATCACTTAACCTAAAATTCTAAAGAGTTAATATGCATGAGGGATGGTAATATAGGAAGCACCTGAAAAAAATTCCTCCAGTCACTGATGGGAAATTTAAGCTGTGAATTTTTGTGAATTTTCAATTCCACAGAAAGCAAAATCTGTATCACATCCAGTAATATGTTAAGTTCTGAAGATACGTTTTCATTTTGCTGAATAAAAACCCTATGACCCATGTTCTGGTCTTGAACTAGGTCAGAAAAACACTGTAATCTCCATATGCAATATTTCCTATAGGCAACCTAAAAGTGCAGCTGCCCCAACCCTTGAAAAGTTTGAGAAGTCAAACTGAGCTATAATAAAGACACAAACAAATTAGGTAGGAGAAAATTCAAATAGGTGAGAAAGCAAGAAGTTAGATTTGTTTGGGTCTTTTTCCTAGATTAAAAAAAAATATTATAAAATGCTTTGGACCCTAGTCCAACATAGCTGGAATGATAAGTTATTTAAAATACAAGTCCCCATCCAGAAAGACAGTGTGCTTACGTAGCACCTGTCTCTTAGAAGTTCAATGTGCTTTAGGTATGATTATCAATTAATTGCATAATTACATTATTCAGAATATACTCAGACTTACTGTTAACTCCAGTGACTAAAGAGCCCCTGCCACTTGCTGCCAAGAAAATGAGTCCTGAACTTACAAGGTTAGGAGTGAAACTGATATGTGTATTTGTTGACCCCAAAAGAAATACCACCCCTTTTCAAGGCAGAAAAAAATGAGAGAAGAGGGAGTAAGACACTTCTTTAAAAAGCCACAAAACATCTTATGAAAAACCACAGCCAGTGCATATTTTATAATACAACCCCTGAAAAAAGCCCCCCAGCAGCAGGGTGAGCAGAGGGAGCCGTGAAGATTTTGAAACCAGAGTGACTTGCAGTAACTGCCTAACAATAAATTCACAGAGTAAAATGCAGAATAGTTGACATATAACCAAGGTTTATGTTGTATCTAGAAATATGTTTTATGCTTTAAAAAAAATTGCAATGCACTCCAAAAATTTTTTTCTGATAATTCATGTACAACAGAAGGCACTGTTATCCGCATAAATCCATTGATTCTGCATGGCAAAAACCTGAGACGTGCAAGTCTATCCAATCCTCTAAAACAACCTTGGGCATTCAGCCTTTGGAACATATGGGTTGTCCTTTTCCGTCCAATGATTGTTTTTCTTTCATTTCATACTTACAGTAGCTGTTTAAAATATATATTTCAGGGTGACAAAGGTCAAAGGGGAAAGAGTAGATAAAAGTGCTGCCTAATGCCAGATGGTAACTGGCACAGCAGGAGGGCCCTAAAAGCAGCCCCTCATTTCATCCCCTTGACCCTCACACTCCTCTTGTGAAATAAAATGCAGCGATGACATTTGGTCAGCTGATGTTCTTTCCTTCAGTTGTTGCTGGGCACAGTCCCAAAATTAAATGCGGAGAGGACTCCTTTGTTTTCAAAGGTGAAGCCTCCCTGTTGTTCAATCTTCTTCTTTGCCTCTAGCATTTTTCAAAAGAAAAGGGGAGAAGAAAAAAAAAGAATGCTTAAGGTGACAAAGTTGGAGATGACTCAAAGGAGCCAGATTCTTTATATGCTTAGAACTGTGAAAGAATGTGACTGGTAGTATTAGTTATCCTGCCAAAGAATAACTAAGAATAACAGACCTATGTCAATAAGGTGGTATGTTCACTACCATCGGAAAATCTGCAAAAAACGAGTGAAAAGAAAACACGTCTCAGAGGTGGATTCTACTTCACTGTCTCTACTGCTGAAAGGGGGCCCAGACTTCTCATATCAGGAAGGCTGACTGAGAATCTGCACAGAACTGAAAATCTAAGTCCATGCAGAAGAGCCAGCATTCTAAACTCTAGATGTCTAGTTTGCCATGTTTCCTACTAAAATTTTTTTGTAACTACAAAATCTTTTCCAATGACAATCTACAAGTAACTACAATAATCAACACAGAGTAATTCCTCCAGCTTAAAAACTGAAAATCAACAACAAGAAACAATGTCAAATAAAGCCCAACAATGAGAAATAGAGAGCATTCCATTTCCAGGAATACAAGCTCCTTGCAAGAATTCGTCAAGTCCCTTTGGCCCACGGTTGAAATGTTTAGGGGAGTGATCCAACTGATTAAGTCTCCCTCGGCAAGACTTATCCCAACCCTTACTTTGTACCTTTGCCTCCAACATAGGATAAGAATGTGAATGAGAACACCACTAGGAAATACATATTAATGTGCAGGTTTTTGCAAAGCTAAGACATCATGAGTGATTAAAACAATCATACAATAATGACAATTCCTTATTATCTTAAAGGGTAAGTCTCTAACAATTTCAAAAACAGTGTTTAGGTGCCACCTGGCTCATCAAATAAGGCTGTCTGTTGGCACTCTGACACATGCACTCCACTCTGGAGGTTACTCTGGCTGACCTGCCACCGTCCGTCGGTGCTCTGCCAGTGTGTACACCTCCTGCAGTGCTGTCCTCTGATCCTCGCTGAGTGGTGCCATCAGCAGCTGGTACCAGGCTGCATCTCGACTCTGCACAGCTGTTGCATTTTGGGAGGAAAAGACAGGAGGGTACAGCGACTATTAATTTACAGAACAAGTAGTAACATGATCAAATTACAAAGAAATTATCCCAGACAGTAAGAGACAAAGAGTACAGTACTACAACACACACAAGGTAATGAAACTTACGCCAACAAAGGATTATTTCTGAGTACCCACTTAGTACCCAGCTATGTGGGAAATCAAAGGAAGGTTAGGACATTGCAAATCTCTAGTCTGCCTAGTTCTCTGTCTCCTTTGCTGTCTTCTATGGATGTTCTCTAAAATCCAGAACACCAGTACTCACTTGTTACCATTTTCCTCTGGAATTTTCATACTACCTGCAGCTTTAGTATTGCTACCACCCCAAGGATTCAAATCTGTACCTCTAGGAAAAACCTTCCCCTAAGCCTCCTGGACTGTTCCATTTGAATAGCTCATCTCAAACTCAACACAACTAAAACCAAATTTAACAATTTCCTCCCAAACCTTCTATCTCTCCATTTATCTCACCAGTTCTATTAGTCTCCCAGTCCACTACTGTGCATCCTTAACATCCCTGAGCATGCCCTCTCCACACCCAAAGCTCTGCTTCTTTCTTAATGTCTTTCATCTGTATGCTGCTTTCCATCAAATGTCACCCTCCCCATTCCAGGTCTCTATACATCTAAATTAATAAAGTGAACCTCTAACACTTGGCTCCCACATCTAGTCCTTTCCAGTTTTTTCTGCACATCATCCATCACCGGGTAACTCCCCTGAAGTGAATTACCACATCTAAAAGGTCACCGCCTCAGAACACAACTTTCAACGCTATTCCAATGGGCAATGGGATGGACCACCTCAGTCCAGAATTCAAGGCCACTATAGCCCAGCCCAACTGCGTTCCTTCACAGTCTTTAAGCAGTGGCCCCTACATGCTGGTTTAAAGTTGCTTGTCACTTGAGAAGCATCTTTAAAAATACATCTCCTGAGATCCTACTCAAGACCTAAAAGCCTCCTTGGTGATTATGACACACCCATGTCTGGAACTACACTAGGCCACATCCTCCATATTTCCATCTCCACGTTTATGCTGTTACGTTTCCCATGCTTTGGAATATAGTTTCCTGTGTTCTCTGCCTCCAATTCCTCTGAATTTCAATAAGAACATCTAGGTAGTTTTTTCTTCATTAATGTTATTTGTAGCAACACTAAAAAATGCCAATATATTAAGCTAATATTGCCTTATTAGTAAAAACATTTACATGTAAGGATGTTCATTTTAATAACCCTCATAATGGTAAAAACATTGGAAACAATCTTAAATGTCCCACAGTGGAACTAAATTACAATGTAACTATGGAAATACTATCTAACCATAAAACAAATAATCTATATTAATGAGATTTAAAATAATTTATTTGATTAATAATTTTCTAAATATCCTCATTGGCTTGTTTTTATTCTGTAAATTTTCCATTTCCATTTTCTACTAGGTTACTGGTCTTATGTATCTGAGGATGGCCTCTGTACACTGTGTACATTATGCCTATTATGCATATGTGGCAAATATTTTCTCCCCCCGAATCATTTATGAGTCCTGTAACTGTAATTATACTGTTCTTTGTTGTATAAAATTGGCAAATTACTTACAAAGTAAAAAGTCACCCTCTTACGGCAGCAATTTCATTCTAGGGATTGTGAATAACTAGTAGGTTGTTAGCCACAATTTTTAAGCAATGTATGCCTGAAACACTTCATTCTTTGCTATAAAAATGCTTGCCCATTTATGCCTAAAGGATGAACAATATACACAGATACTCCACATATTACTTTTGCAAGGATAACATACAGGCTCACCCTGCTACTTCTCAATGATGAAAGCTGCTAGGATTGGGTGATAGGTGTTTCATTATTTTAATTTCTATCATTTCATGTATGTATGTTTGGGGATTTCTATCATAAGGAATAAACAAAAAAATTTTTAAAAGAACCTAGACCAATCTTGGGCAAATATCAAAACAGGAAGAAATGAAGAAAGAGTTTAGAAAAAAAAATATCAGAAGATGTGGGGAAGTAAAGACATACTTATCAGAGCTTGTGTAAAAAACTGATATTCATCCACACTATTGTCAAGGTCAAGTGGAGTACTGAACCCCTCAAGCGCGGTTTCTTCCAATACTTCTTCATCCCAGTCATCATCTTCCTCCTCCTCATCTTCACCTCTTCCATTATTTGACTGCATTGCTTGAGCAGTTACATTTGTCTCCTCTTCATCACTTGAAATCTCCTCTGTGAACCCATTAATTATTTAAAAGGAATCAAAACACATAAGGACAAAATATAAAACTTCACGACAAAAACCAAAGACTATAAAACTACACTCTGGAAAGGAAAAAATCTTCCACAAAATTTTAATAAAAATAAATCTTATCCCTGGTCTAAAGAGGAGAGTCAAAAAATAAAAATAAAAAATAAAATAAATAAACCTTATCTTTACTGTAGAGTTTGCTAAGTTGAGAATGTCCTTATCCTCCTCACTGAAAACAAGTTCCCTAAACCTGTTATCCAGATGAACATTACTACTGTTAGGCTATGCAAGTTCATTAATACAAGAATATTATTCAATTGCAGATTTCAAAATTACCTTTGTTTAAAAAAAAAGTGACTGTACGGTCAGTGCATGTGTTTTAAACAATGACTTCCTATTGAGAATTCAGTCCTCTTAATTAACTGAGTTGATTATAAAGTGCTTAGAAATGCCCAAATGAGATCATTTCTGCTAGTAGAAACAGTAAAAATACAGATCCAGCCATCCCACTTCAGGATATATATCTAAAATATTTTAAATCAATACGTAGAACAGATGTCAGCAGCCCTGTGTTCATCGCAGCATTATTCACAATAGCCAAGTTACAGAATCAACCTAAGTGTCCATCAACAACGGATGAATAAAGAAAATGTGGATTCTTTAAAATGAAACACTATTCAGCTTTTAAAAAGGTAATTCTGTCAATTCCAACAACACTGATGAACTTGGACATTATGATAAGTGAAATAAGCCAGGCACAGAAAGACACATACTGCCTGTTCTCACTTATACATAGAATCTAAAACAATCAAACTCATAGAAGTAGAGAATAGAATGGTGGTTACCAGAGGCTAGAGGTGGTGGGAATATGGGAATGTTGGTAAAAGGGTACAAAGTCTCAGGAAGAATTAGGTTTTTGTTTTGTTTTGTTTTGTTTTGGTATCTATTGTACAGCATGGTGAATACAGTTAATAGTATATGTACATTTCAAAATTGGCAAGATTGTAAATTTCAAATGTTCCCACCATTAAAAAGGGTATTTAAGGTGATGGATATATTAGTTTGATTTAATCATTCCGCATTATATTCACAAATCATAACATCACTTTGTACTCCATAAATATATAATTTGCTAATTTATAATAAAAAGAAATAGCAAAAATGTAAAGAAAAATAGCTACATGTCGCTTGAAAAGTTAAAAACTTGAACTACATTATGTATCACCATGGATTCTGTATCTATTTTCAGTGTCAATCTGTTCCTAGCAGTTAGATTGTAACTGAAATACTGGAACAGGAAGGCAGTAAATGCAGAACAAAAATCAAGATAAGAGAGAAATCCTGGAGTAAACCCAAACCAGGTAATATTAACCTAAAACTAGTTCTATTAGACACACCATATTGAAGCAGGTAGATTGAACTAGGTAGTTTTAGGAATAAGGCACTTAACCAGAGTTTGGACCAAATACACGAAAAAATGCATGGCAAATTATAACTATTAATACAAAAAGACTGAGAAATACCTCCACTAGTTAATCATTCCATACTTTAGTAGGAAGTACAAGAAAGTGTGGGATATTACCAGAAAATTTTCCCTCAAGCCATACAGTATAAGCCAATAAAGAGTTGCCAAAACAAGAAATTAGAGATCATAACATACTGGAAAAAATAAAAGAATTCTACAACTGTTGACACACAGTTAGCTAAAAACAAAACAAAACAAAACAAAAATCACACATGCAACACTTCTAATAAAGAAGCATTTCTTCAAAAGACCTACACAGATTTCAGAAAAACAAATTAGAAGCTGTATTTTGTGCTGTGGAGGGGAGAAAAAGGGTAGTTTATAATCTCTGGTATATGAACAAACTGGGATGATGCCAGTTAAAAGTGTTTTAAATCTATCCATGCTAAAATCACAGAATTTAGCATCAAAAATAGAGCTGTATGTTTACCAGGAAGAGTTCTGATTTTTCTCAGCTAACAAAGTATCTGTTTTTAACCAGGAGAGGAAAAAATCCACCTGGAATAGGAGAATGCTACTTCCTAGTCTCTAGCAAGTAGCTCCGCAATCTCATCATTAAACAAAACAAAGGTCTAATATTCAACTCTAACAATCTTATTCTGATTCTCAAGTATATCCACTTCATTTATGTACTTTACCTTAATTTATATTTAAATCACAAATATGGACGTCTCTCAAATGTAATTTTTGCTAATGAGTCACCTAAGAACCATTCCAGAAAAAGAAAAAAAAGACACTCTCTACTAATCTGTGGTACTAACACTTCAGCTCTTAATGTAATGATTCATTTAACTCATGGCTACTGCCTTGATGAGGCTGTTAGCACAAACAAGAAAGTTAGATACTAGATTGCTAACTTACAGTCAAGACCATTTGATTGTTATAAATGTGTTTCCTAATGTGTAACAGCATCTATTAGGCTCCATAAAAAAAACCGCTGAGTATATTAGGTGTCAGAAGGTGCATAAATCTAAATTTATATAGCATGATACAATTAATAGCAAGTCAACCAAGCCCAAAATATTTGTTATATGTGTAGCAGGCCGAAGAATGTAAATCTGTTTAATGTCTCCATATAGACTAGTATTCATATAAAATGCATACACAAATCAAAATCAATTGTAACATTAATTTCAATTAGAAGACTTTACCATTTTCTTCCATATCAGCTTTCTCTGCTTTTGAACGATCTTCCCGGTTTACCAGTTGTCTAGTAGCACAGACCTGCTTTAGGCCAAGGAAAAGGAAAAGAATTGAGGGAACAATCTGTCCCACCACAGCATCTACTGCAGGAGGTCGATTTTGCAATTCCAAAAGGATACTCAGTCCTATTATACACATCTTCCGGTCATGATGCCTGCAAATTTTGAAGAAAAAAAAAATGTAGACATGAGAAGTGGAATAAAGAACAAATTCTGGAGAAACTACAAAAAGAAATGTCCAAGGCATACTCTAAGGTTCATCTGTTGGTATCATACAGAGACATTCCCTGTTTTGTACTGTATGAAATGCTATGTAAATCAAATTTTGTAAACCAATTATTTTCAAAGACCTATTGGGAGTCTGCAATTAACATGGTGAATCTTGCTGTAATATCAATTTATGATTAATATAAATGTTATATATGGGCCTCGGCATAAGGAGTTTTAATAAAGCAGAAATACCTATATTTGACAGCATAAAAGTCCTATACAATGGTTGGGGGGAATGAAGAGTTTCTTAGACTCTTCCAACATTAGATTGATCTACAAGGTTTCTCAGCACACATAATCTACCCAAACCCTAAGAGGTGAAAGATGTTTCAAAAACTCAGCATCTAGTAAGATAGTAAGCTGAACTTAATTTAAGCAGTCTACTAAACTCCTGTGCTATAAAATAGCATAAGAAAAATATAAGGACAAGGAAAATTTTATTCAGAAAGAAAAAAAGTTTGACCAGTAAACATTAGACATTTTTCTACTAAATGCTTCCTCTAAGTTGCTTAAAACTAAAAAATTAAGAACTAAAAGATTACATTGGCAAAACATTCTTAAAATTGTGTGAATAAAAAATTCACTTGCAGCGATTCAATGTGTTTAAAGTGCGAATAATATAACAAATCCAATAATGAATATTCTACAGGCTTCTGTTATTCTTCATTATTTGCATTCCTTGATTGATTCAAGTCACTAATGCCCAACTAGTACGCTATAACAGAACTGTACTTGACCTGAGGACCTTCTCATCCATGCAACCCCTAAATACATGCCACACGGATCACAGCAGAAAAGAGGATTATCAAGCAGAGCTCGAAAGAATCCAAGGAAGCACAACCCAAGGACTCCCAGTCTACACAATAGCAGGGAGACTGCTTCCAGTGCTAATAAACACATAAGAGAACCAACCGCTTAACTTTAAATTACCAAATCTCTACTCCCTAAATCTTTCTCAGAGATAACTTTAACAACAATTTCTTTGATAGTATGTTCTTCCCTTCAAGGTTTTAATAACAAATCTCAATCAGGGATTAATTCCAGTGTCCTGCAAGTAGAAAAATTAGAACACGCATAGCAGCTTGTAAATATGTTCCCCCATTCCTAACGCCCCACCCTAATCCAGGCCTCCATCTTCTCCTGCCTGTGGCAGCAGTGTCTTAACCACTGTGGGGAGTCTGTTCCTCTCAGGAAATTTTTCTAAATGATCTCTCACAAAACTTAAGAAGAATACTATTAATTTCCAGTTAGATATTAGATAGTGTTTTAAAACAAATTAGACAGCTAGCTCAATTTCTAGCATAACACAATCACTAATCTGTGTTGGGTGACCTGAGGTGGGCACATAACACTAGTTGGAATCTCACTCTTCCTATTTTTTTGAGATGGAGTCTCACTCTGTCGCCCAGGCTGGAGTGCAGTGGCACGATCTCAGCTCACTGCAAGCTCCGCCTCCCAGGTTCATGCCATTCTCCTGCCTCAGCCTCCCGAGTAGCTGGGACTACAGGTGCCCACCACCACGCCCTGCTAGCTTTTTTGTGTGCTTTTTTAGTAGAGATGGGGTTTCACCGTGTTAGCCAGAATGGTCTCGATCTCCTGACCTCGTGATCCACCCGCCTCGGCCTCCCAAAGTGCTGGGATTACAGATGGGAGCCACCGCGCCCGGCCTCACTCTTCCTATTTTTGAAAACTAGGAAGAGTGCTTCACATAAAACCAAATTCTCCTACTGGGGCAGCACCTGGGCTACAAATAACAAGCCTTCTGACTCCACTTTTGAGAACAGGCATCCCTGAGATCTGCAAAGAGTTAAACATTCTGTGACATTACATTTTATCTTTGCCAGAGGGGTACCATCCTTAGAAATCCAACTCCATTTAGAATGTTTTTACCCACTGACACTTAATCATGGAACCCAGACAGACAACTAATTCTTGTTGCCTAGAGATACAATGATACACTTGTGTTTAAAAAAAATAAATAAAAAAAATAAAAGCGGGAAAGGGCTACATCAAATTTTCAGAGGCTGCATTCTTTCCACTAGATTACCCTGCTGAAATGCATTCTTAATCCTCTAAAAATTAAATATTAACAATACACTAAAAATAATTCCTAAGACATGAAAATTATCTTTGTACATGCTATTATACACAAATATTAAAAAGCAAACTTTCCAGAAACAGAAAAGCAGTGTAAAATCCAAAAGACACATACCCAAGAAAACAATCTGTATCATTCATCCATTGATTTATAAACTGTACAGTGATAGGTCCAGGGTTGTGAGGCAACTGAATTCGTTCTAAAGTATGTAGCAGCAAATCAGGGTTGTAGTACAAGGCAGCAATTGCAACCTGAAGACACATAGTACGAAGCTCACTAGTTTTGACCCCTCGAGTTAATCTCTCCAAAACAAGTTGAACGAAGAGTGGAATGCACTAGAAGACAAGCAAAAGAAAGTCAACCACACAGACAGCCCAAGTAACTTTTATAGAAGCTGAATATTGGCAGAGCATTCTCAATAAATAAGACAGTCTTAATGGCAATGAGACTTTTGACTAAATCATTTTAGAGGTATTTAAAAGATTTATATTATTATAACAACCTAGAGAGACTAAATAGACAAAAACAAGTCCTATAGCAGTGCCAGAAAATCTCCTTCCTTCTTAAGTAAATTAAAGTCAGCTGAAGATTGTCCTGTAAGAGTCCACGCTCAAACAGTGTCAATAATCCCTATGTGGACACAGCCACTTGCACATCTAAGGTGAAATCACTGCATGTCATTTTCTTTGACAAATTAAATTGGAAATAAATAAATGGGACTGAAAATAATTATGATGTAATCAGATTGTTTTTGAGAAAGAAAATTCCTGTTAATATAAGATGAAAAAGGCTAAAGAAAAAATGGTGGAGCCTGAACATTAAAATAAAATCTGACTCCAATTCTAAGGTGCAATATTGATGAACTAATTTTACTAGAACTATTTCCCAATAGTTATTTTCAGTTAAAGGGGATGAGCTGAAATGATTTCTATAAAATAAAATCTGAGGTCTTACTATAAGCCCCTTTTTAAATTAAACTTTTAAAAAAATCAAGGTTTTGTGTAGAAAGTTGAGTTATATTTATTATTTTCTTTTTAGTAGGCCAAATTGGATATATATTTGGGTCAGCAGACTATTAGTCTGGTTTAGGATAACATATTAAATCAAAATACATGACTACACATACTTTTAAGACCATAAAGCTCTCTACAAAGATGAGATAACTAGTTTAACTCTACGTCTACTTATGCTGATACAACATATTCTGTGTTCTAATTTGAGATAACACATATAAGCTATGTTAAAAATTATTACCATGGTCAAATAATTAGTTGTGGATAAACGCAGCCACAAGAAAATATAAATTAAGTTTGAAAAGCTCTTTTTGAGATGTTTTAAAACTAAAGTTTCAAAATTACAGCTAGATGGGAGAAATAAGTTCTGGTGTTCTATAGCACTATGGGATGACTATAGTTAACAGTAATACATAGTTTCAAATAGCTAGGAGGAGGACATTGAATGTTCTCAACACAAAGAAGCCATAAATGTTTGAGACAATGGATATGCTAATTACCCTGATCAGATCACTACACATTGTATCAAAACATCACTATGTATTCTATAAACATACAATTATGTCAGCTTAAATAAATAGAAAATAAAGTTTCATTTTAACAAGTATTTACTATTACACACAAAGCCATAAGAACATAAAGGAATTGTGAAGTTTTAGAACTAGTAAAACTAAAAGAATTCCATTATATTAAAACAAAATCGATTATGGAAGCTGGTTGGACTACTACGTAAATGCACAATTAGAGCACTGTGCAGCTGCAGAAGGAATGCAGAATATCTCCACATGCTACTATCAGGTGATCTGCAGGATATGTTACTTAGCGTAGAAGGCAACAGAGAAAATGTATAGTATGCTACCGTTTACCTAAGAAGGCAAGGAGAGAATATCTATTTTTTGTTTTTGTTTTGTTTTTTAATGAAAGGATGAACTAAAACTAGGGGAAGAAATGGAGAAGAAGAAGAAGGGTAGAGGGATAGGGTGGAAGCTGGACTTCTCTGAATATACCTTGTCTTATAAATTAGACCTTAGAACTGTGTCTATGGTTCCCATATCCGTTACCAAAAAATTAAGCTATTTCTTTTTTTTTTTTTTTTTTCTTTTTTGGAGACAGAGTCTTGCTCTGTCACCCAGGCTAGAGTGCAAATTAAGCTATTTCTAAAAATTAAGATAAATTGAAGTAAGTGAATCAACCAAATGAGGATTATTTTAATAACTTTAAAATTTAATTATTTGACTGTATTTTCACTGTATATTGCTAGTGGATGAACATATCTTAGAGATAAAAAGAGCTACTAAAAAAAACAAACAGTAGTAACCATTTCTTGGTAATAATGTTGGTATAATTAGTCTGAGACTAAATGTATCCATTAATGGGATAAAGCAAGCAAGTAATTAAGATGAGAACCAGAATTTTTGGTGTGGGAGATATAGAACAGAATCGAGTAGGTTAAGGATAAAGAATGTAGTCATGAATCTGAATTAGAAATACCTGTGTGTGGCCAGGCACAGTGGTTCACGCCTGTAATCCCAGTACTTTGGGAGGCTGAGACAGGAGGATCACCCAAGGTCAGGAGTTTGAGACCTGCCTGGCCAACATGGTGAAACCCCCATCTCTACTAAAAATACAAAAATTAGCCGGGCGTGGTGGCAGTTGCCTGTAATCCCAGCTACTCGGGAGGCTGAGGCAGGAGAATCACTTGAACCCAGGAGATGGAGGTTGCAGTGAGCCGAGATCAAGCCATTTGCACTCCACTCCAGCCTGGGGTACAAGAGCGAGACTTCATCTCAAAAAAACAGAAAAAAAAATCTGTGCATATTAGAGTATTAGAGACATAAAGATGGAAATAATAGGTACGGGGACTCCAAAAGAGGTAAAGGAGAGAATGGGGCAAGGGTTGAAAAATGATCTGTTGGGTACCGTGTTCACTATCTGGACAACAGGTTCAATAGAAACCCAAACCTCAGCATCACACAATATATCCATGTAACAAACCTGCACATGTATCCCCCAAATCTAAAATTAAAAAAAGAATTATCTGTGTACATTAATGTTTTATTGACTAAAAAAAGCCAAACAACATATTTCTTGGCTCTATTTTGTAGAAACAATGACCAATCCAATATCAATGAATATATATATATAGCGACATATTAGTTATATACATTAATATGCATTAGTATATATGTAGCTAATTATCAATTTATTAATACGATATATAAATAGTACATATTATATATATACACACATATATACTATACATATATATGTTTTAGATATATATGTATAGCAATGAATATCCCCTGTGCCCAGCTTGTAGTCTTGAATACCATTTCCCAGGCTAGGACGAGACATCTATAAGATAAGCCTGGAATATCTAGTCGTACCAAGACAGCAAGGAAACTACCAAAGACTATTAGAATCAGGTTAAAAGGGCTCATAAGACAAATTCAAGAGGCTCCCATGGGACAAAAATGAAACTATGTATACTTAAAATACACTGAAACACATAGAGTAAATTTGGATCTATACATTCATAAGGATACTAAAAATTTTTAAAACCAAACAACATAATAAAACATTTTGCTGATCATCTTTGGAGAATGCTAGGTAAGAAACTTATCTTGAATAATGGTAAATAAAGGGAAATACTCAAGCTGTTTCTCAAAGTAGCCTGATAATTTATGAGAAAACATTTCTCTTTACAGGAATATTTCACCTAATAAAGAAGAAATGACAGAATTAGAAGATCACCATCAGCAACACTAACATCATGAGAGACCACCAGACATACTGTGCCTCCTAGTAAAATTACACACCATCACCCATGAAGTGCATGAGCCAAGATCATGCCATTTGCACTCTAGCCTGGTGAGTCAAACCTGAATCCAAGACAACACTAAATGTAATCACTAATTTACAGGAAATTTAGAGGAATGGAATGCCAATCAATACAGTCCTTCAGCTGTACTTGAGTGCATTGTAATGGTAACCTCACTAACAGTAGAGATCACCTTGTGTCCTTAACTTTCTGATACACAAATTCTTGAATACTACTATGGTCTCGATATGGTTTGTCCTCCTGAAACTCATGTTGAAATTTGATCCCCAGTGTGGCAGGTTTTGGGAGGTGGGGCCTAGTGGGAAGTGTTTGAGTCATGGTAGTGGTCGACCCCTTATGAATGCCTTGGGGCCATTCTCCTGTTGTGATGTAATGAGCGACTTCTCACTATCATTCTGGCACAACTGAATTACTTTTTGTGGGAATGAACTAGTTCCCATGAGAGTAGGTTGTTATAAAGCAAGGACACCCCTGGGTTTTGCCCCTTCGCATACATCCACTTCCCCTTTGACCTTCCACCACGTTGTGGTACAGCACAGGCCATAGCTTGCCAGCTTCTGGCGTACAGAATGGATTCTAAAGTCTTTGGCATGGATTTATTCTATAGTCTTCTGAACCTCTCCCCAACCTATGTTTCCATTATTAAAGCCTACAGCTCAGAACCCTCCAAAATCCAGTCAACAGAACTAAATACTTCTTTAGCCCCACTCATGTCTTGTGCTTTACTACCTTCTTATTTTGTTAACATCATAATTTATTTTCACCTCCACTATGTCACCTAAAAAGTACATAATAACAAAGGGAGAAAAGAGCCTTCAAAGATACCTGTTGGGGACAGGTGGTAGTTCACACCTGTAATCCCAGAACTTTGGGAAGCTGAGGCAGGAGGATCACTTGAAGCCAGGAGTTAGAGAGCGGCCAAAACCACATAGTGAGACCTCATCTTTACAAAAAATTTGAAAATGAGCTGGGCATGGTGGCATATGCCTGTAGTCAGTCCCAGCTACTCAGGAGGTAAGATGGGAGGATCACCTGGGCCCAGGAATTTGAGGTTACCATGAGATACGACTGCACCATTGCACTCCAGCCTAGGCAAAAGAGAGATCCAATCTCCATTAAAAAAAAAAAGGTTTTTAAATAAATATCAGTAAAACTTTATGATTTTTTAGAAAGGTCATAATTTTTTTGTCACTAATACCCCAATAAAGCTTGGGGGTAGGCAGAAGTCATTCTCAAAAATAATGAAGATTTTGGTGGTAAGTAAAGCTCCATTGAGAGCAAAAAGATGGGCCAGCAGTTCACCAGAGATGGCCAAGGAAGGAGACAGGCAAAGCAAGCTCCCTCAGGTCCAAACAAACCTCAAAGATGTACTTTGCTTTTTGGTGTTTTTTTTTTTTGTTTTTTTTTTTTTTTGGAGACAGAGGAATTTTGCTCATCACCCAGGCTGGAGTGCAATGGCGCAATCTTGGCTCACTGCAACCTCCGCCTCTGGGTTCAAGTGATTCTCCTGACTCAGCCTCCCAAGTAGCTGGGATTACAGGCGCATGCCATCATGCCCAGGTGATTTTTGTATTTTTAGTAGAGACAGGGTTTCACCATGTTGGCCAGGCTGGTTTCAAACTCCTAACCTCAGGTGATCCACCCGCCTCAGCCTCCCAAAGTGCTGGGATTACAGGCGTAAGCCACTGCGCCCCGCCACAAAGATGAACTTTGAAAATGGCAAATCGGCCATCATAATGCTTAAAGAATAAAATAAACTACTGTTAAAGAAAGCTATGAGACAATATCTCAAAGATAAAATTACAGTAAAGATACAGGCATTGTAAAAGAGAACCAGGCCAGGTGCGGTGGCTCACGCCTGTAATCCCAGCACTTTGGGGGGCTGAGGCTGGTGATCACCTGAGGTCAGGAGTTCGAGATCAGCCTGGCCAACATGGCGAAACCCCATCTCTACTAAAAAAACAAAAATTAGCTGGGTGTGATGGCGCACGCCTGTAATACCAGCTACTTGGGAGGTTGAAGCTCAAGAATCACTTGAACCCAGGAGGCGGAGGTTGCAGTAAGCCAAGATTGCGCCACTGCACTCCAGCCTGGGTAACACAGCAAGACTTCATCTCAAAAAAAAAAAAAAAGAGACAGAGAGAGAACCAAATATAAATTGTGGACTTAAGAAGTGTAAGCAAACATCTCAAATCAATAATCTAACCTGTTACTTTAAAACATTGGAAAAAGAACAACTAAACAAAAAGCAAGCAGACGGGAAAAAATAAGGATTAGAGTGGAAACTAATGAAATGGAAAACAAAAATAGAGAACAAAACCAAAAGTTAGCTCTTTGAAAAAATCAAAATTGATAAACTTTTAGTCAACTAAGAAAAAAAGAGAGAAGACTCTAATTACTAAACCCAGGAACAAAACAGGGTCATTACTATGGAACCTACAGATACAAAAAGACATAAGGAAATACTATGAACCACATGCAATGAATTAGATAAATTACGTTGAAAAATTCCAAGATGCAAACTACTGAAATGAATTTAAAAAGAAATGTAAACTACGAATAAATCTATAACAAATAAAGAGACTGAATTGGCCATTTAAAACTACCCACCGAAAACAAAACAAAACAAAACACAGACAAAAATAGGCCCAGATAGTTTCACTGCTAAATTCTACCAAACATTTAAAAAAGAAGAGCAATTCTTCACAACTCTTTGAACAAAGAGAAAGGATGAACGCTTCCCAACTCATTCAATGAGTCCAACAATACTCTGATACCAAAGCCAGACAAAAAACATCACAAGAAAAGAAAGTTAGAGATCAATATATATTATGCACATAGACACAAAAATACTTTTTAAAAACTACCAGGAAATTTAATCTAGAAATACATACAGAGATCATATTTGATAAGTGTGATTTATACCAGGAATGCAAGTTTGATTTAAAATCTGAAAATCAATTAATGTAATACATCTCTATTCTAAAAGGACAAAAACTACATGATCATCTCAATAGATGCAGAAAAAAGCATTCAGCAAAATTCAACACCCTTTCATGATAAAAGCAACAAGTTAGCAACAGTCAAGAACTGAACCTGACAAAAGGGCATATATGAAAAGCCCACAGGTAACATCAGACTTAATGGTGAAAGACTGAATGTGTTCCCTCCTAAGACCAGGAACAAGATGAGATGTCTCTTTTCATCATAGCTATTCAACATTGCACTCCAGCTTCTAGCCAGGGCAATTAGTCAAGAAAAATAAGAGGCACCCAAACTGGAAAGGTAAAACTCTTATTTGTAGATAATATGATCCTGTTTACAGAAAATTCTAAAAAATCCACTAAACCACCATTAAAACTAATAAATCAGTTCAGCAAGGTTGCAGGATACAAGATAAACATGCAAAAACAATTATATTTCTATACACTGGCAACAAACCTGAAAATAAAACAACTCCATTTACAATAGCGTCAAAAAGAAAATATATAAAAATATTTTAGGAATAGAATTGAAAAACTTATACTCTGATAACAACCAAACATTGTTGAAAGAAATTAAAGAAAACCTAAATAAAAGAAAGTCACCCCACGTTCAGGGATTGAAAGACTATTTTTAAAACAGAAATACTTCTCAAACTAATCTACAGATTCAGCACAATGCCTGTCACAATCCCAGCTGGCTAATTTACTGAAATTGACAAACGGATCCTAAAACTCGTATGAAAATTTAACGGACCCTGTCTAGCCAAAACAATCTCACAAAAGAATGCAGTTACAGGACTCAAACCTCCTGACCTCAAAACTTACTACAAAGCTAAAGTAATAAAGACAATGCAGTACTGGAATAAGAACAGATAAGTACATAAATCAAATAGACTGAGTCCAGAAAAAACCCTCACATTACAGTCAACTGATTTGACAAGAATGCCAAGACAATTCAATGGGGAAAAAATAGTCTTTTCCACAAATGGTGCTCAAACAACTTCATAACTACATGCAAAAGAATTAAAATGCAGACCCCCTCCTCACATTATGTACAAAAATTAACTCAAAATAGATCAAGACCTAAATATAAGAAAAAAACTATAAAACTCTTAGAACAAAAGAGGATAAATCTTCATGACACTGGAGCTAGCAATGTTTCTTAAATATGACAACGGCTGGGTACAGTGGCTCATACCTGTAGTCCCAGGACTTTTCTACAAAAATTAGCCAGGTGTAGTAGCACGTGCCTGCAGTCCCAGCTACTCAGGAGGCTGAGGTGGGAGGATTTGGAGGTCAAGGCTGCAGTGAGCCAAGATTGTGCCACTGCACTCCAGCCCAGGTGATAGAATGAGACCGTCTCCAAAAAAAAAAAAAAAAAAAAAAGACACCAACCACAAGCAATAATCATAAAAAAAAATTAATGGACATCATCAAAATTAAAAACATTTGTGCTTTAAAGGACACCATCAAGACAAATTGGGAGAAAATTTTGCAAATGATACCCGATAACAGGCTTCAATGTAGAATATATAATGAACTCCAACAACTCAATAAATAGACAAATAATTACAAATGAGCAAATGATCCGATTAGACATTTCTCCAAAAAAAGATATACAAAAGGCTAATCAGTACATGAAACATGCTCAAGATCATTAGCCATCATAAAAATGCAAATAAAAACCACAATGAGACACTACTTCACAAATGAAATAAGTGCTGGCAAAAACACAAAGAAATTGGAACCCTCTATCATTGCTGTAGGAATGGAAAATGGTGCAGCTGCTTTAAAAACAGTTTGACAGTCCCTCAAATGATTAAACACAGAATGACCATATTCCACTCCTAGGAAATGAAAACATATTCACACAAAAACTTGTACACAAAAGTTCCTAACAGCATTATTCATAATAGCCAAAAAGTAAAAATAACCCAAATGACCAACAACTGATGAATGGATAAAATGTGATTTAACTATACAATGAAATATTATTTGGCATTAAAAGAAATAAAGTACCAATACACACTACCACACAGATGAACCTTGAAAACCTATGACAAGTGAAAGAAGCCAGTCACGAAGGACCACATATAAGATGATTACATTTACATCAAATGCCCAGAATACGCAAATCTATAGAGACAAAGTCATAGTGGTTGCCCAGAGCTTGGGGCGAGTGACTGTTAATGAGTTTTTTGGGAGAGGGGTAATGACATGTTCTAAAATTGTGTAACAGTTGCACAATTCTTTGAATACACTAAAAACCATGTATGTATACACTTTAAATGGATGAAATGTATGGAACGTGAATTAGATCTCAAAACTATTATAAGAAATACATAAAGCAAAACTTACAGAAAAGAAAAATTCAATTTTACTGGAATATTTCAACATTTTTCTTAGTTATTGAACATACCACAATAGTATCAAAAATTGCATTAATCTTGTTGAAAAAAGATTAAAAATTTATAACATGAAAAATATAAAGTATAAAATTTAGCCTTTTAAAATGGTCAAGAAATATTTTTTTCTATAGTACCTTAATTTCTGGTTAGAAAAGGTACCTAGGAGTATTTAAATAGGATACACAAAACAAAGGGAACATGAAATCTCTGAGACTCCAACTGAGTAGAATTTATACGTTTCCTTCATTATTTTTTTGATAGCCCCTTATATTATTACATATTTTTCTGTGCATACCTTTTTCAGCTACAATGCAAGGTACGGTTTCCAAACTACCTGGCTCTTTTTGTCATTTAAACAGAATTTGCACCAGAAAGCACAATCTATAGGCTGTCCTTTCCATTTTTCATCATAATATAAATGAAAAGTCAAGCAGGCATGTAAACTTCAAATGTAACCCTCAAGTAAGGCACTTTCCAGACATATATTACCTGATCAATTCCCCTTCCTTTGCACTGAAGAATGATGACTTCCAGAAGTTTAGCTGCATGACACTCTGCATCTTCTCCTGCATCTCCACATAGTACCTGCAGTAATTACAATTTAGCTCAGCAGTAAGTGGCACTGCATAGAGGTTAATCAAGTCCACATGCACAAATGTCCCATATAAATTCAGCCATAGGAACCACAGCTTTGCTTGCTGTGCAAGTTTACCTCACCAACCCAAAGAAGAATGGTCAAAATAAATTCCATCCATCATCTCATTTCTTATAAGGAGCAATAATTCACTTATTTGACCTTGGATTAATAAAGTAGACTATATGAGCTAATTTTCCACATAAATGAAGCTTCCCTTTAAAGGCAACAAAACTACAAAATGAAATCAAAACCAAAACAAAATAATCTTCTTATTAAACAATGAAACTATTTTTCTGTTCCTTTTGAATCCTGGTCCATATGAACCCATTTTTTTCATAACCACCATAATTTCATATTACATACCTTTCAATTCTCCAACATGAACTTAATAATTAGGAATATTTTTCATGGACATTGTAACCATTTATAACTATACAATATGACAGTAGGTGAATATAACAAAGTTATCAGACAGTTCCCCTATTATTAATTCTGTATTTTCACTATTATAAACAATTCCACAATGCACATGTTCATACATAAAATGTGGAATATGACTGCCTTATAATAAGATTCCCAATAATGTTCCTAGAGCATGCTTATATTAAAAATTGTTTAAGGTAAAAAGAATAAATTAATGATTCAAATATAAGACATAAGAAAAAGAATAGACTTAAAGAAATAAGGGTGGGCCAGAAATTTAAAATATAGACAAAAAGAGGTAACAGAGAGAACTAAAAGCAAATTCATTGAAAAAAAAGACTTAACGAAGTAAGAAGCTTTTTATATAAGTTATTTTTAAGAAGAAAAAAAAGCAAAACATTAAAAATATTAGGAAAGAGACAAATACAGACAAAAGACAGATTAGAAATAATACTATAAAGAACACTATATTCTTTACATTTAAAAACTCAGATTAGATGATTTTCTAGAAAAATAAAATTTAAGAAAAATTAATTAAGAAATTCCAGATAATTCTGACAGATTTAACATTCCCATTTAATTTCATTCTCTCCCAAAATGCTATCAAAATGACAACAGAGAAATTTTAAAGATGTACATATACAAAGACAGAAAAAAGTAGAGAGAACAGCAATACACATTTTGGAAGCTGGAAAATAGTGAGCTGAATGATAAGCAGATATCAGGCAAAGCCAAGAGTCAACTGTATTTACATAAATTTAAAATGCTATCTCTAGGACAGTATACCACAGTCTAGCTTCTAAATGTGAATGGACTCTGGAACCAGGCTGCTTAGGTTCAAACCGCAGCTCTTCCACTTATTAGCTGTGTTTTTAGAAACGTTACTTAACCTCTTTTACTGTCCCCATCTATAAAATGGGAATAAAAGAACCTACTTCATGGGGTCGTATGATACAAAAAGAAAAATAATTACTCCCTTTTCTCAAAATTGCATTTACTTGGGGACCATTTGTTTTGGTTTGCCAAAAGGAAAGAAAACAAAAATGTATCTTGTAATTTTTTAAATAGGCTCTGGAGTCAGATTAGGTTCAAATCTGGCTCCAACACATAGTAGCTATGTGATTGCAACTATTTCCTAACCTCAGCATAGTGCAAGAAACTATGTCTTAGTTTCCTTTTGATACAAATGTGATACCTTCCTCATACTGTCATAAAGGTTAATATTATAGAAAGTGCTTAGAAAATGGCTGGTATACAATAAGAATTCGACAAATATTAGCTAGTATTAAAACTAGTATTTCATATTCATAAAAGAATATGAAATATATTTTAACTACTTGATAAGCATAAGGAAATCATTGTGAACATCAATTTTACTATATCTGCAAATACACAGGGGAAGCTGTGAATTACTAATGGAATACACAGAACTGTTTTACTTGTTTCTTTCCCTCTTTCTCTATCAGCTACCTCTCTAACAGGGAAAACTGAAGACTGCCCGGTGATTATGATTTAACAACATGGGTTATCCACAGAGGTAAATGAATCATTACAACTCACAGTTCAGCCCCTTCACTTTACACCTGAAGCAGCTTACTGACTTCCCAAAATTTCCCTGACTCTTTAGAACTGAACTGAGACCTAGACCTAAACCAGATCTACTGATTATCAGTGCAGAGCTCTTACCAGATTTTGGGTACACCCCTTCTGGTAAGGAAAACAAAAGTGTGTTGGGAGGGTTGTACACTAGCTATTTCACTCCCAGCTCTACGGCCAAACGTTTTGGTTTCTGGTTATTTGAGCTTTATAAAATCTGCCTGCCAGCTTTATGCAATATAGTTTCAGTTTCATATTTATGTGTGTGTGTGTGTGTATGTATATATTTACTTATTTATTTACCTAAAGGAGAAGAAAACCGTTATTTAGCCAAAGATCCCAAAAGATAACCAATAGTGGGCCAAACCTATCTTGTGGCAAAGACAATATGGCAGACAATCATGTTTGTGTATAAGGATAACAGTAGCCATTATGTAGATTGTAGATTATAGATTATCTTGTTAAATGATGCTTTTCCAACTATTAAAATTTTTATCTTATGTTGTTTATGCTCAAATTACCTACATCTAGTGACTTCCAATATATACATTAAATTAAAAAATAAAAAAGATCATTCCATTTGTCACTGATTAACAAAACGTGTGGTTAATTTTCCTAGCACTTCAATCAAGTAGAAAATTCATGTCCAAAAGAAAAAACAAAAAGTAAAAAGTACAGATATAGAAGTGGCAAACATTCATAAGCACGACACACAATATGAAACTTTCAAATCCCAAAGATCCTTTTGAAAATACAAATGAAAAAATATATGTTGATGAAGATAATGCAGAACTAAATGTGTAAGAAACAAACTGAAAAAGTATCCTGAAGCAAAACAGGCAAACATTAGTTAAGAACCACTGAAACAATAGATTAGGTCATGCTTACCTTCCTACACATTGTAAAAAGAATTTCTAAATGTTTTGCATTTGATAGTAAGGTATCTGTATCTATTGTCACATAATTATGCAGGAGAGGCATCATGTCTGAAAAAAAATCAAAATCCCAATGAGACTTGAGTGACAGAAATAGAAATAAATTATTCCCACTGAAACCATATTTCTGTAGCACCCACACATTAGTATCTTCCCATGCAACCACAAAAGGCTAGAAATGAAAGTAATAAGTCTGATGTGTATTTATAGATGGGGAAAATGTGGAGCAGAAAGACTAAGATGCTCATCATTTATGAAGTAATTGTGCTGAATTTTTTCCCTTTCTCCACTGCACACTCATCCCTATCTGACATACTTTATATTTTCTTGCTCATTTGTCTGCGTGATTCCCTACCCTCCCATCATCCCCATTAGAATGTAAGCTTCAAAAGGGCAAAGCCTGTTTATTTTGCTCACTGCTGGATTGCTGAGATTAGAATAGGGCTTGGAATATAGTTGGTGTCCATAAAATACTTATTAAATTAATATATGGATATATGCTCTGGTCATAAACTAACTTAAGACTCAATAAGAAATACAGCCTACCTCCTCTGCCTATATACCTAGGGCTGAAAAACACTGCTACAATAGCCCCAGCTTTTATGTGACCGGGAAATAAAAACATTTTCTGATCAATATTGGAATCATATGTGTTTTTATTTCAGGTGTCAACAGGAAGAAGTATCTAGACACAGAAAAGCAAAAATTTTATATGGTCAAAGCCATACCTGTAAAGTATTCAAAGCAATCCTGCTGAAACACTTCATATAGTATACCTAGAAGCTGCCACATTTGAGGGGAAATACTGTGGCAGGTTAAACTGTATGCCAGGGAAAGAATTTCTTCATAGAATTCTAGAAGAAAGAAAATCTCTAGTTAGAATGCTAGGAAATAGCAAAAGTTAAAACAAAGACCACACAGAGGAGGGTTTAGACTACCTACGCACACAGAGTCCTCCTCTATCCAATGTACTCATAAGCCTCCCTTTCTCAGTATTTGTATCTTCGGCTATGTATCTGCCTCCTTCCATTTCTTACCAAGATCTGCCCCTCTGTTCAATAAGGCAAGGCAAAAATTTGTTTTCACTAAACTTTCTTATACTATTGAAAAAATAAAGTTTTTTTCTATTTTATAATCTATATTTATAAAACTGTATTAGAAATAGATACAAGAAGGAATAGATTATCATTCCTCATTTATGTCGAGGATTTAAAATGTACAAATAATTAATAATATTCTTTGGAGAGCTTAATTATATCAGACTAAAGTATCTACCTATCTCAAATTTATACTTTTACTAACAACTATATACTGGGCAGTATTTTGTCAATTTACAAAACTTGTAAAACGTACAGTATTCTTCAAGTTAATCAAGACAATAAGACCCACTATAAAGTAGAAGAGTTCAAAGGAAATGTTCTTATACTCACAAATATCATTATCCTCAGTCAAAAGTAAATTATATCTACACGTACAGCCAGGAAACACAAATCTCAACAAAAATTTCAAATAGTTCCTACCATACCACTGAGCAAAGAAGTCTAACTTGAAAGGTTTTTCCTCTTATAAAAACTAGTGGTCACCCTGGAAACTTGATTAAGGTTTCTCTAACATTACTTAAAACTTAATATATTCAAAAGCTAGCAAAATAAAATGGAAATTACAAATATTGATGAATAATTTATGTAAGAAAATAATTTGAAAAATAAATTATCTAAATATGGAATTTCTAAAAGTTCTAGCATGGCACTGGGATAAAAACAGACACACAGACCAATGGAACCGATTACAAAGCCCAAAAGTAAATCTACCCATTTAGGGTCAATTAATTTTCAACAAAGATGCTAAAAACACACAATGGAGAAAGGACAGTCTCTTCAATAAATGGCACTGGGAAAACTAAATATCCATTTGCAGAAAATCAAATTAGACCCTCATCTTACACCACATACAAAAATCTACTTGAAATTAATTAAATACTTAAGCTCTAAGATCTGACATGATAAAACTACTAGAAAAAAACACAGGGGAAAAGCTTCACGGAAACTTGGAACACTGGTCCAGGGAATGATTTTTTTTTTTTTTATATGAGGATATGACCCCAAAGCACACACAACAAAAGCAAAAACAGACAAAATAGGATTACATCAAACTAAAAGGCTTTTGCATAGCAAAGAAAACAATTCACAGAACAGACAACCTCCAAAATGAGAGAAAATATTTATAATCTATATCAAATGAAGATTTAATATCCAAAATATATAAGGAACTCAAACCATTCAGTAGAAAGAAAATAACCCAACTTAAAAATGGGCAAAGGAACTGAATGGATATTTCTCAAAAGATTATATAAAAATGGCCAACAAGTATACAAAAAAATATTTTAAATCACTAATCATCAGGGAAATGCAAATCAAAACCACATCATATCTACGAGAATGTCTATTATCAAAAAGACGAAAGTTAAATGCTGGAGGGGATGTAGAGAAAAAGGAAACTGTTGTATACTCTTGGTGAGAGAGTAAAAACAGCCACTGTGGAAAGCAGTATGAAGGTTCCTCAAAAAATTAAAGATAGAACTATCATATGATCAAGTCATCCTAGTACTGGGTATATATCCAAAGGAATTAAAATCAGGATCTTGAAGAGATAATGTGCCCTCCTATGTTCACTGAAGCATGTTTCACAATAACCAAGATATGAAAATACCTAAGTGTCCACTGACAGATGAACAGATAAAGAAAATGTGGTATATATACATGATGGAGTACCAGTCCACCTTAAAAAAAAAAGAAAATCCTATTATTTGTAACAACAGAGATGGACACACTATGTTAAGTGAAATAAGCCAAAACAGAACTTTCAGAAATTCTTTTATTATTAATTAAAGGCCACAGTTTACATTAAGGTTCACTCTGCATTGTTCATTCTAAGGGTTTTGACAAATGTATAGTGACGTATTCATCATTATTGTATCATACAGAGTAGTTTCACTGCATAAAACTTCTGTGCTCTACCTCTTCATCCTTCCCTCTCTCCCATCCCCAAGCCCTGGCAACCACTGGTCTTTTTACTGAAAGATGTACTTTTTAAAAATATTTATTTTTTAATTGACAAATAAAAATTGTATCTATGATTTATACACCGTTTTGAAATATATGTATTTTGTGGAATGACTAAATCTGGCATCCATTACTTCACATACCTTTTTGTGGTGACACCACTTAAAATCTACTCTTAGCAATTTTCAAGTATATAATACATGGTTACTAACTATGGTCACCATTTTGACCAACATCTCCCCTCCCTCCACTTCCTGCTAACTAAATTCTGTTCTTTCTATGAGTTTGAGATCTTGTGGTATCTGTCTTTCTGTGCCTGGCTTATTTCACTTAGCATAATGTACTCCAGGTTCACCCATGTTGTCACAAATGACAGGATTTCCTTTTTAAGGCTGAATAGTATCCCACTGTTTATATCTACCATGTTATATTCAAGTACTCTTCAAATATTATTCACATATATTAGCAGTGCATGCTCAACTTTTTACTAACAGAGTGAACAATAAAAAGCCTGGAGACAACTGCTCTTAATCAGAGACAGGCTTTTCCTGCATCCTTCTATCTGAGTACTACACAGCTTGCATCTGTGTCACACCCACATGACGTGGGGCTAGCATCTTCAAAATGCTTGAATACGATGGAAGACTCACCTCCTCTACAAAATTCCCATCAGCTTGTAACATCTAGCATTAGTTACTGATTCTACTCAGAAGTCAGGTACCATAATAGATAATAGGACAATTAATTCATACTTTGAGACAGGATCTCACTCTGTTGCCCAGGGGGAGTGCAGTGGCACAATCACAATTCATGGCAGCCTCTACCTGCCAGGCTCATGTGATCCTCCCACTTCAGCCTACAGAGTAGCTGGCACCACAGACACATGCCACCACACTCAGCTAATTTTTTTTATTTTTTGTAGAGACAGTGTTTCACCATGTTGCACTGGCTGGTCTTGAACTTCTGGACTCAAGCAATTCACCCACCTCAGCCTCCCAAACTACTGAGATTACAGGTGTGAGCCACGGTGCCCAGCCATTTCACATTTCTGATTTTAAAAAATGCCTATTAAACATTTTTCAATCCCAGATTAAGGTAACCTCACCTAAACCTCATCCCAGTTCATTTCTAGCAATGTACAATTTAAAATTACTGTCCTTTAAAATTCTAAAATCAAAAATTATTCGTTGGATGTATAATTTTTTATCTCTGAATGAAAATACAGATATTTAACACTAGAAAGGACATCCAAAAATTGAAGTGATTATGCTTCTCTTTCTCAAAATTGTCCATCTTGTTAAATCTGAAGGGCTAAAATTATACTTTGAGTTCAAATTTTTAAAATTTTTTCAATTTATCTTTTTATTTAACCTTTGAACTTACCAATTACATGTTTCTGCAGAACAAGATCAATGATCCGTAGACAGATATTCTCTAACTGCTGGGTAATCTAAAGATAAATGTTAAATATTAAGCTTAAAATTATCATAATTAATACATAAATTTAATATTGTGCCAATAAAAATATCAAGAGGACATTTTTGAGACGGTAACTTGACAATTCTAAACTTCATGTGAAAAACTAAACATGCAAGAATAATCAGAAAATTTTGAAAAATAGACTGACAGAAATGGGGGTAAAATCCATAACAATTTATATTAGTTCCTTACCATATATTTTATACCAAAATAAATTCCTAATAGATAAAAGATTTCAGTGTGAAGAAATAAACCATAAAAAAATAGAATAAAAAGAATTATTGTATAATCCTGAAAAGGGAAAGTGACTCAAAGCCCAGAAATAAGAAATGAAAAGAATGAAATCATCTGACTAAAAAATTAAAGAATTTTGCATGGGGCATGGGGAAGTAAAAAAAAATGAGTGAAATATTTTCAAATGGTATCACAAAGATCAAATTCCCCTTACATAAAATTAGTGAATTTTTAAAAATTGAAATACAATAGAAAACAAATGTGTTTCTTTTTTTATAATCTTTGCCTGTGTTTATAAAAAGATGTTCGTTATAATACATGGTAAGAGTACAAATTCCAAGTGCAACATTAACAATTTTCACCTATTAAGACTGGAAATGATCACAATTATGGGGCTGGGAAGAAAGACCCTGTTGTATATTGATTTCTGGAGTGTAAATGGTATACACAATGAAGGACAAGTTGGCAACATCCTTCAAACTTACCCATACAAATGACGATGCAAACCAGCAATTCCACTTCAAGGGATTTACCCTTCACACATATTATGTGTGCAAAATGACACATAAAAGGCCATTCATTCATTTCAGCAATGTTTGTGATTACTAGCAATCAAATGCCCATTTAAACAAGAGACAGTTAAATTATATCCACTAAACCGGGACTGGTGAAATAAATTTGACACATCATACAAGGGAATATTAAGCAACCATTAAAAATATATAACTTTATTGATTGACATGGAAGGATCATCAAGATATATTAAGTTAAAAATGGCAAATAAAAACTGTGTATAGCATGCTATCATTTTCGTAAAAGAAAAATATACACATTCACTTTTTGCTTATATGTTAATAGAAAAATCTCTAGAAGGACCCGAAAACCTGGTTTAAAAAAAAGGAAAAAAATAGCTGCTTCCAGAGAGGAGAATTAGATAGCTGGGGAGTTGAGTGAGAAGGTAAAATTTCACTGAATTTTCTTTTCACATCTTTTGAATTTTTCAACATATGTTGGTATCAAATATTTTAAAATAAGTTAAAATCTATGACGGGTTACATTTTTCGTGTAAATGTCCTATTTCAACCATCAAGTATATTCTAATATTCAACTTAAACTACTGTCTTAAGGTTCAAATGATCCAAAATTTCCCACTTTAAAAAACTGTCAATATGCTTAAAACCATTAAACAAAAATGCATATGCTTAAGCACCTATTTTAGATTCACAATTTTGTGTTTCATACACTATTTGTCAGTGTTTCATAAATGTGGTTTTTCCTTTTAAGGAAATATTGTTTTCAAAGTTTGCTTTTAATAAGTTAAAGCTCAAAATCTTGGTCAAGAGACGAAGATTCCGGTTGGTTTTGCCTGTAATTATTCATGGCCTTGGTAAAGCCATTTAGCTGAAGGCTTTAGGTTTTTTTTGTCTTTAGGTAAGGATGCTATATTAGTGTGTCTCAATTTTCACCCATGCCTCTCTTGATAATCACAATAAGTTCACCTGTCCCTTTAACATTATTTGGAATTCAAAATAAATTTAATATCAAGAGAAAAAATAAAAACAGAAAAGATGCTGTTTTGTTTTTAAACTACCCCTGCAGCTCATTCTACTACGCCCCACACACACTTGTGAAAACTGGATAAGGTGATTTCTAAGGTCTCTTCAAATTTAAAATACAAGTCCTAAGTATAAGACAAAAGAACTATCCCTTAAATTTACTTGTAATTTAATTTGGAACATCTCACTGTTACCAAGAGGACCATTTAGTTTCAATACAGAAGGACACAAAAATAAAATAATGAAAATGAAAATAAAAATTAAGCCCTTTAGGCAAATGAAGACTAGTCCAGAAGAGTATCAAGCCTTTTTTTTTTTTTTTTTTTTTGGAGACAGAGTCTCGCTCTGTCCCCCAGGCTGGAGTGCAATGGCATGATCTCGGCTCATTGCGAGCTCCGCCTCCCGGGTTCATGCCATTCTCCTGCCTCAGCCTCCCAAGTAGCTGGGACTACAGGCGCCCGCCACCACGCCAGGCTAATTTTTTGTATTTTTAGTAGAGATGGGGTTTCACTGTGTTAGCCAGGATGGTCTCGATCTCCTGACCTCGTGATCCACCCGCCTCAGCCTCCCAAAGTGCTGGGATTACAGGCATGAGCCACCGCGCCGGGCCTTATCAAGCCATTTTTAAGAACCAAGTCAGCCGGGCATAGTGGCTCATGCCTATAATCCCAGCACTTTCAGAAGCCAAGGCGGGCATATCACTTCAGGTCAGCAGTTCCAGGACTGCCAGACCAACATGGTGAAACCCCTTCTCCACTAATAATACAAAAATTAGCCTGGCGTGGTGGCAGGCAGCTACTCGGGAGGCTGAGGCAGCACAATCACTTGAACCGGGAGGCCAAGGTTGAAGTGAGCTGAGATTGTGTCACTGCACTCCGGCCTGGGCAACAGAGCAAGACTTGTCTCTGAGCAAGACTTGTCTCAAACAAATAAACAAAAAAAAAAAAACCAAGTCATCTTCCATTGGCACGTCATAAACACAGGATAAACCAACAGCTACGGCTGGGCACGGTGGCTCACACCTGTAATCCCAGCACTTTGGGAGGCCGAGGTGGGCGGATCACGAGGTCAGGAGATCGAGACCCTCCTGGCTAACAAGGTGAAACCCCGTCTCTAATAAAAAAAATTCAAAAAAATTAGCTGGGCATGGTGGCGGGCACCTGTAGTTCCAGCTACTCGGGAGGCTGAGGCAGGAGAATGGCGTGAATCCAGGAGACGGAGCTTGCAGTGAGCAGAAACTGAGCCACTGCACTCCAGCCTGGGTGACTGAGTGAGATTCTGTCTCAAAACAAAAAAAAAAAAAACCCACAAAATCAAAAAAAAAACCCAACAGCTACATGGTTTAACAATGCTATTTAAAGTAGTAGTAGCAGCCAGGCATGGCGGCTCATGCCTTTAATCCCAGCACTTTGGGAGGCTGAAGCGGGTGGATCACCTGAGGTCAGGAGTTCAAGACCAGCCTGGCCAACGTGGTGAAACCCCATCTCTACTGAAAATATAAAAATTAGCTGGGTGTGATGGTACACACCTGTAGTCCCAGCTCCTCGGGAGGCTGAGGCAGGAGAATTGCTTGAACCCGGAAGGTGGAGGTTGCAGTGAACCAAGATCATGCCACTGCACGCCAGCCTAGGTGACAGAGTGAGACTGTCTCAAAAAATTAAATAAACAAATAAAAGTAGTACTAGCACCTGCTTCCTAAGTGCTCACCTTGTAAAACAATAATTGCCATCAGTGCCAAACAAGTCAACTTGCACTCACAGAAGCAATGAACAAAAATCTAATTTGAGTTAAGGAGAGGCCATGGGATACTTGGGAAGCAGCTGTAGGTTTTAAATGGGGATAAACTGATACATTATCAAAATGATGTGACTACAAACCCAAATGTACAACTTACTAGCTCTGGGACCATGAGCAAGTTTCTTAAATCCACCTGAACTTTGTTTTCTGCTTCTGCAAAACAGACTACCATTACCTGTGCTAGCTATGTCATGGTGGCACCAGTAAGATCATATCAGCTGATGGATGTGAAAGCACTAGATAAATAGCTGTATAAAGTCTTATCCCAATAACACTTTGGAATTCAGTTGAGTAAATATGCTTTTCAGCTCTTTCATTTATTCCTTTCCATTTTTACAGTACTTGTTATATCAGAATTCTGTTCCATTACCTAACACTTGCCACTGTGATTGAACTGCTGTCTGTCACTCTCTACCAAGAATTCTAGATTGTTGGTTCCCAGAAAGCTGGGCTCATTTCTTATTCAATTTGGTATTCCCCAAGAACCTAGCCTGGCACATAGCAGATATGATTAACTGAACTCAAGTTAATATAAAGGGATATACTATATACTTTATAATATTTACATTATAATATTACAAATATTATGATGTAATATTATAATGTTACTCAGTCATTTTAATATGTTTCCATAAAATGTGAGGGCAATTTTTAAAGCCTAGCAACATAACTAAGTAGCAATTTAAAAGTGGAGACTTCAAAATTCATGGCCACTGATCACATAAATTTCAGTTAAATGCTACTATTATATCATAAACCACAAAGAAATCTCACCTCTTTATGATCTTCTACAACTGTTAAGATAGTATCAATGGTATGTAAAATTCCCATAGCCATTACTGTTTTGTCTTCAACTTCTTCATATTCATCACTTTGAAGAACTTTGCCAAATATCTCAGCCTATGAAAATAACATTAAAGTATTCCGCAATTAGTAGTACTGTTACGTCCCCGCTTTACAAAAGTTAGCAAAATGGCAGTGTCACACATCTGAAGTCTGCATTGCTCAAACTTTGAAGTCTGCACTTTGCTGACTGAATCATCTCTCTTCTTAAAATAACAGAACTTGTCATGTTTTAAATATAGCTATTTACATTAACTATTATATCCAGAGAGCTAATATTTAACTTCTGGTTGTCACTAAGCAAGTAAAATCACAATCTAGGACAAGTGAAATCAAGTAATAGTAAAAAGAAAAATGCAATAGAAGATTGAGAAGTCGAGGAATCACTTAGAAAATGAAACAAACAAAAAAAAAAAACAGACATGGAAAACAGGAGGAAAAGTTTTTAAAAAAATTAAGAGACACAGTCCAGATGTGATTCTCCATATCAGGAAATACAAACAGAAAAAAAAATAGTAAGGAGAAATTTATCAAAAAAGTAAAACAATAAATTGCCCCAAACTGAAGGAAATGAGCTTCCTGATTCAAAGCCCAGAAATTAAAACTTTAGAAAGCACATATTATAAAATTTCAGAATATTCTAGATGAAAGAAATTATCCTAAATGTGATTAAAGTCTAATGAACTATAGTAATATCAGAATAATTTTTTTATCAATATTTCAGTTACAGTCATGCATCGCTTAACATGGATATATTTTGAGAAATGTGTCGTTAGGCAATTTCATCCTTGCTTGAACATCATTGAATGTACTTAGGCAAATCTAGATGGCATAGCCTATTGCTCCAAGGCCACAAACCTATACAGTTTGCTAATGTAGTGAATACTTAGGCAATCATGACACAATGGAATTATTTGTATCTAAACATACAAAAGGTACAGTAAAAATACGGTATTATAATCTTAGGAGTGCACCATCGTATATGCAATCTGTCATTGACTGAAATGTTGTTAAGCAGCACATGACTGTACAAATAAAACTGAACTCCATATTTTGGAGTTTATTTAGATTACTCAAGGTTTCTAAACCAAATTAACATAAAACTGCCCGGTCTTACCAAGTGTTGGGTCATATCAACAGCAATTGAGGCTACCTCTTGACTGTATTCACATATCATCTTCTGGATGACATTAGTAACATCATCATTTTCTGTCTCTCTAACAATGTGCAACAGTTCCTGCATAATAGGCCTCACATGTGGCTTCATATATTCCTTAGCTAATTCAATAAAACAAACAAAAGTAATAAAAATTACCATGCCCAGATGATAAAAGGAATTAACTTGGTCACAAGGTCAAGTGACCCAGGGTAATACCTAAATCAGGTTCTAGATACACACTTGCTCTGTGGTAAGTTACAAAGCTGTACCTAAATAATGTTCACCAATATATCAGTTTCCCAAGAGTAATATAAGGATAAGAAGTCCTGCACAGGAGAGAACTGTCCTGTGCAGAAACTATCCCAAAATACTAATAGCCCCCACTGAGAAATTCTAATTATACATACACTTGGTCATCAGAATGACTTGGAAAACATGAATCAGTTCTCATGACAAGTTATAAAAAATCATGTACGTGAAGACTATCCCGAATACTGATGGGGCCCCTTCCCTGCCCCAGGCCATCTCTACCACCCTCCCTTGCCATGTGTACAATATCCAATCCTCCCACTGAAACATTGCTGAATAGAGGCAAACTACGTTCACGTTCTTCATAAAGCTGAACTTACTTTCAAAGGTTTATTTGAACTTTGATCAGAACACTGAACAAATGAGACGTCTGTTATCACTCACTAGAAATACTACTTGCTACTTTCAAAACTAGGGGAATCAGAATCCCAGAGGTGAAAGGAATCATGAAGTCATTCAGTCCAACTCCCCTAAACTTAAATATGTGGAAACCTGAGCCTTGACAGATCACACACCTTGCCCAGGTTTCCATGGCAAGTTAGGAGCAAAATCAAAACTGGGCCCAGGTCTCTTTATGCCCAGCCTATCCTAGGGCCCCACAATGATTAACATGTTTCCTAACCTAAAATTCTGAAAACTACAGTCAATAGGAACACCTAAAAAGGACAAGAATAAATTCCTACAAAATTCTGAGAGGGCAAAACCTCAGAATTCCAAACCCTGAACCCTCAGACATGGAGATGCATCTTCATTAGGGAAGAAAGTAAATGAAATTATTTGAGAAGATGTCTAAAAGGTATTTTGGCTTTACCTTGTATCTGGTTAGAAATTAAAGACTGAAGAGCAAGGGCAGCTTCAACTTTGACAGGCATCTCTTTATCTTCAATCAGGCTCTTCTTCGCTAATTCAACGGCATTTCTTAGATTGAGCTCATTATGGAACTTCAAAGAACTAAATGCATGAAGTACCCAGCAAGACTGTATTATTAAAAAAGGTAAGTAGGGAGCTATTAGGATTATAGCATTCTGTAATAATATCACAGATATAAGAACTTCTTAGTAAAATATCAATTCTATGAAGAAATGTTTGCTTTTGGGGTAACACAGTAGCCTTAGTTTCTAACTTCTACATCCCCCTTTTTACAAGTAAGGCATTTTCATTACTTCTAAATTACCCATATGCAATAACATTTTTCATAGGAAAGAGAAAAAGAAGCCAAATATGTCTTTGACAAAAATCTATTTACGCTTTTAATAAATATTATAACTCATAATTAATTTGTTATATGTAAAAGCAACTCCAAACCAGTATCTGAAATTCATTTGTCACACTTAGGTAAAACATTATTTTCCCTTACACTAACTGGTTTAGTAAGCTTCCTTTTTTTCACTCTCATAGGTACCAAAAATTTTAAACCTGGTATAGATGATCACATTTTAACTATTAGACCACAGAATCATTATTATATTTTACTCTCTGTGTGCATCAAACACAATCAACAGAAATTAATTCTAGTTACTAAAGACTTTTAGCAAGAGAATCACAATTCATATAACTTCTCAAAGGTAGGAGCCCCACTGTAAAAATGCTCATGTGCCCTCAGCGTCCCTAGTCCACATTTGCCCAGATATTGCGCTAGTAACTATTATTTTATAAAATGCTTTCTAGTGTACAAGGCATTGTTAATATATGTTGTTTTTAGCAAGACATTTTTGTGTTGATATATTTATAAAGAGAAATGCTAGGCTCTTGAATAAAAGTCCTGTTTCTATTTCTCCATAAAATATATTGATTCTAAAAGAATATACACATAGAGCACAATTTCACATGGATTATTAATCTCTCCATTTTACTAAGGCAAATCTACCTAATATACTGAAAATCAAATTCAAGTTCTTAGCCAATCTGGAATTTCATGTCATTTTATACACAAAATAAATCCATTTGTGAATTTAAATTGTATCACTGCTATAAAATCACCTTTCTCATTTCATGTTTTACATATGCAGCAAGTGAGGCTAGGGTGACAAATGAAATAAAACCAGCAGGAAATAAAATCCATAAATATTTTCCTTTTTTTTTGAGACAGGGTCTCACTGTTGTCCAGGCTGGAGTGCAGTGGCACGATCTCAGCTCACCGCAACCTCCGCCTCCCGGGTTCAAGCAATTCTCCTGGCTCAGCCTCCCTAGTAGCTGGGATAACAGGCGCCTGCCATGAAGCCCAGCTAATTTTTTGTATTTTTGTAGAGACAGGGTTTCACCATGTTGGCCAGGCTGGTCTCAAACTCCCGATCTCAAGTGATCCGCCCACCTCAGCCTCCCAAAGTGCTGGGATTACAGGCATGAGCCACTGCGCCCAGCCTATAAATCTTTTTCTTTAATAGTCTGTCCTTTATTCAGCTGATGTGACCATAGGCAGACATTCTAATTGACTCTATTTCATCTCAATATGTGGCAAAAGGTCAATTTATCCAAAAAACATTTATTTGAATAATTATCTTATGAAGATTTAAGATACATAACAGAAATATGAAAAACTTACTCTAGCTCGAAGATATCCCAGGTTAGACAATAATAATGGAAATACATGATTTTGTAGAAACAGCTCCATTTGGTCCTTGAATAAACTCTTCTATTAGGAAACAAATTTCAACTTATCAATTTCTTTTTCATACGTAAGAATCACTTCCTAATCAAGTGTGTTTACTATGACTTGCATTTAATATACTTCTAATTTTGTAAAATTATTTGACCTATATATTGCATGTTTTAAAACAAGACAAATATTACCTTATATCAGTTTGATATTGATTGATTTTGTAGACATAAGATACTTTGTATCCCTTTCACATATCAATAGTTTCATACTGAAAACTTTAAACAGTCAAATTTTCTTTTTAATTAAAGAAATAGATGACAGAAAGGAGGATAGTTGTGAACTCAATTATCCAGAGGTAGTCACCAGCTTTAAATTAGCCATAACTTTCATATTCTCTCATTTGCCTGTACTTTACAATGTTATTAAGTAAATTAAATTTTGATTATCTTAACCTTCAGTAAAATCTCAGCTAGGGAACCAATCACATGCAGGGCTCCATCTTTCTTCCTAGGGTCAAAGTTCGGGTCTGTCAGGATTTGATAACAGAATGCCATCATTTTTGGCAACACCTAAAGAAACAGAAGAATCCATTTAGTCTACATGAACTTTCATTGTCTTACTATAGTATTAACTATGATGCACAAATTTTTAAAAATAAAGCCATTTTATTATGTTTTATCAAGCAACTATAAGCTCAATAAGAAAAGTATAATTTATTAAGAAAACGAAATAACCATGATACCCCCTTTCCCCTCACCAGGAGAGGAAAAAAAAAATCCTTAAGGTGACAAATTATAACGAATAACAACATAATTTCTCAAATACTAGGGATATACTAGAGTATCAACTCAACACAGGCCACCTTTCAGTTTTGGATTTAAAAAGAAAAATGAAATACCTCTTTTCTTTTCTTTGCAGCAGTATATAAGAGAGTCTGGGCTGCTGTGGTGGGAGAAGCATAATCTTCAAAAATATCTAAGATTTTAAAAGGTTAAAACCATGTTAGTGAAAATATAATTACTTATTCTAGATTTTAAACCTGACTGACCGCTATTCCAAACCAAAAAAATAAAACCATCCACATATGACACTGCTTGACAGTACTAAAAAGGTAAGGATATACAGTGGCACCACAACATTGCTGTCTCCTGCACAAAACAATGTTCCTCAAACTCTACAGGTTGTCCTTTCAAACTATTATATTGAAGAAAACAATGCATTTACACATCTGTTTCACTGAGAACAGAAAAAGTGCTTTATTTCTATCAAAAAACAACAAAAATTCACTCAGCTCTTACTATGTGCCAGGTACCATTCTAGACCCCGGGGATACAAAGATCAAACAAAAAGGTTCTCACGGAGCTTATGTCGTGAAACAAAGAAACACATTATACATATATACACACATAATAAGTCAGGCTAAGAACAAATGTAAAATAGGGTAAAGAGACAGAGTGACAGAGTATGGGGTGCTAGTTTAAATAGGGTGTTAGCAAAAGCCTCTCCAACTCTGTTAAGGTAACATTTAAGCAGAAATTGAATGAAATGAGGGAGAAAGCAATCCATGGATAAAGTACTCCAAGCAGGTGAAACAGCAAGTATAAAAGCCTTGAAGGACTGCTAGGACCATGCCTGGCTCTGTCGATACGTAAGTTCAGCAGGTTTTGTTGAATATATACCTATCTAAAACTTAACATATCACTTAATACCATGAACATTTTCACAAGTTTCAGAATAGGCAGTTTTACATAAGAAACTGAAGTCTTGAGAGGTATCTGATAAGTCCTTGTTTAAATACAAAAGATAAAACCAAATCTAAGTCTACCTCAAAATATAAAATACAAACATAATAAGAACATTTTTGGAGTACTGTACTTACTCTGTGCCAAGCAGTATGCTACAGTTTTAGAAGCATCTTGTATTCTATGCTAAGCAGTTAGTTCATGTGTATTATCCCATTTAATCCTCCCAGCACTATTATCATCACCCGTTTGACAGCTGAAAGCACTGAATTTTAGAGAGGTTAAGTAACCTGTCCACAGTCACACAGCAGGTAAGTGACCAAACCAGCATTCACACCCACGCTATCTTAACATCAAAGCCTGAGCTCTTGTTAGTTCTTACCAAATCAAAAAACATTATTGGGGGAAGTGAGGAGATGTTGGTTAAAGAGTAGATAAAAAGAATAAACTAAAACATTATTATTAATCAGTCAATACATTTAGATAGGAATGCTTTGTTTCACGTAAATAATTGCAAGTGCCAAACATATAAAAAGAAAATGCAGTAATTGTTCTTCCCTATGGTTACCCAAAAGTAAAATACACATATCAAATAAAAGCCACTGCATTCCAGTCTACAGAAGGAAACGATTAAAGAAAACTCACTTCAGCTAGTCAGTCTTGAGTTACCCATATCCGCTTTTAAACAATAAAATGTAAATTCCCACTGTTAATCAACAGACATAGAGTTCTTATTTTCTAAAAACTAGGGTATGTATACCTATCTTATCAGATATGAAGAATATATAAATAATGGTAACTTTCTGAAAGCTAAACAAATACTCTGTACATCACAAAAACACATAGGTATTATGAAAGAAGTAAACACTAAAAGAATGCCTTGCAAGGCAAGAGGATCACTTAAGCCAGGAGTTCGAAACCAGCCTGGGAAATACAGGGAGACCCTGTCTCTGCAAAAAATAATTAGCCAGGTGTGGTGGCACATGCCTGTGGCCCCAACTACTTGGAGGCTGAGGTGGGAGAGTCACTGGAACAAAAAAAAGAGAGAGAGAGAGAGAGAGAAGAATGGTTGGCTAATCACTCAAAGCAAACTAGAAAAACAAAGGCATAAGAAAGGGGAAATAATAAGTTACACATATGAATAATGATTTTCAAAAGAAAAATAACAAATCAAGCAGATGATAAATGTTTCTCATTGATTTGCTTTTCTGATACTTTGTCTCCAAGAGAAAACAGGATCCTCACTTACTGAATCAAATAATATAAACACAAAGCTCTGTAAAAACACAGCCCAAAAAACTAGCATCTGTACCAGTAGGTTTAGCTTACGTAGCTAGACACACCTGGCTCAACTAAGGGGAAAGCACTGCTTCATTACAGCACTTTCAGCACGCAGCGCTAGATTTAGCAATCATTTCTTTCAACATGTATTGAAGGCATACTGGAGGCCAAGCACTAGTGGAGGAATGCAGAGGTGTAGAAGAGACAGAAAATGCAAAATTAAGCAAATAAGGTAAAATTCCTGTCCTGAGAAAGCTTCTAAGTTGTGGGAGATAGGTATGCAAATTAATATTTTGCTATGTTAAGTGCTTGAGTGTTCCATGAAGCAATTAATACAAACTGGGAATAAAAGGGAATAAATCAGGCCACCTACACAATTCAACAGTTTCCAGGAAGATCCAAGTTAAAAGGACACCCAAAGAATTGGACCACACACAGTAGGGCCCCCATACGAAATTTATTTCCCTTGTGGAACACTTAGTCTCTCAGACAAGCAAGCAAACCAAATTGGGGTACCCCTAAAATATGCAGAAATCCAAAGTATTTCCCACATGAGAACAACCCAATCTATAAATGAGTCTCCCAAAAGGCACAAAAACGGATGGTCCCTGCAGATCAGCATCGCAACAGCATAAGTAACAGATGGCTCAACTTGAGCACCCGTAAGAGAGATGAATGAGGTGGCTTTTCATCTCCCACATCCGACAATCTCCAGTTCTCTAGTTCAACAAAATAACATCAAACTCTCAAAGTTTCAGATTATGTCATGCAAAACAGAACCTGGGAGATTTAATAAAGTAATAACATTTGCTTAAAAATATAAATTTAGTTATATTACTTTACATATCCAGGAACTGATGAGAAATAAAACCATCTCAATTACCAAATTTCATCCTTATATACTCATATGGATCTTCTTGCCACAGCTCTTCATCCTCATCTTTATAACACATCACAGAAAAAATCACATCTTCAGAGATATTCTAAAATGAGAAAAAAAAAAAAACGTAACAAATGGGTATAGGCTATTCAAGTTTGAGGAATACTAATAATGTACTTGTTGACAGCCTTTATGATGTTAGTTTTCCAAACTCTGTGTGTGTGTAAAATGTCAAGTCGAGGTTATATTTACTATTATAGTTCTTATTTTGAAATTTTTTTTAACATTTCCATTTTAGTCCTAAATGTCCATGTATTAACAATATTAAAGGGCCAGGCATGGTGACTCATGTCTGTAATCCTACCTCTTTGGAAGCCCAAGGGCAGAAGGATCGCTTGAGGACAGGAGTTCAAGACCAGCCTGGGCACTGTAGCGAGACCCCATCTCCAAAAAAATACATAAAAACGTAGCCAAGCATGGTGGCGTCCATCTTGGAGGGTCTCTTGAGCCTAGGAGCTCAGGGCTGCAGTGAGCCATGATCATGCCACTGCAGTCCAGCCTGTGCAACAGAGTGAGACTCCAGCTCCAAAAAAAAAAAATTGGAATTTTCTTTACTTCTATTCCCAAAAAAACTAATTTCCTACTCCACAAATGTTTCAGTTAGAGAAAAGTCCTATCTACTAGCCTCTCTGTGCACTGCTACTAATGTCCTATTAAGCCCTTTTAGGCTCTAACAACAATTTATATAAAAACAGGATCATCTCTTACCACTTAATTCCAAATTAAATAATTCTAAGTGAAAAAATTCAGCCTAAGGATCAGCGTTTTCTTATTCCTACTTTACAGCTATGTAAAAATAAAGCCAAAGGTATGAAGTAGAGAAGAAATGTTATCACAACTCACCCTTACTTTACAGGAACACAGCAAATGAAATCAGTATCTTTATTAATTAATTGCAAAGAAATTATCACTATTTGATCAAAGTGATTAGGCAAATAGTTATTAAGATATCTACATAAATCAAAGAAAAGATATCTGTTGGTAAGACGGGTAATAACACTAAAATTCTATCCTGGACAGCAAACAGCAAAGTGAAAGATTTTTCTTTTCAGATATCATTTATAAAATTTAAGAATTCACAGTTTGGGAGAGAGTAGGTATTCAGTTCCTAAGACTGTCAAATTATCCAATTATTTGTATACAAGGAAGTATTTATTTATTAGTGGCCTATAATTTTCCATTCCCATTTGTTCTTTAGCTAAATAACAATACTGAATTCTACCTTTAGGCAAACGATATAGAAACAATGATGCTATTGAACTTAACAATCCAAGAAAATAAATAAAAACCTTGCTCATACCTACAAAATAAAACGGTCACATATCAGTCTTCAATTCCTGCAAAATAACACTACCTTAGTAGAGCCCTGGTAAGTTTTCAAAATACTTTCTCACAAAATACCTCATTTAATCCTAGCAACTTTTAGATAAGAATAGAAAAACACTATGTGCCTTAATAGAGGAGAAAATGAGGCTTAATGAGATTAAGCAAGATCAAGTGAATCCAGGTCTCCCGACTCATAAAACTTGAAGGCTTCACTTTTCTCAAATGCTTAAATTTCTAAGCCCTTTATATCTGACATAGGACTTCACTCATTAGAAATTATTAATGGTAAAATGTATATATATAAAATGTAAAATATAGGATTAGTAATACTAACTTTGTCTAGAAAACCTAATTTAACCAGAGAATAATTTTGGAGAGCTGCTCTCTGACACTAACCTGTATGTGTGGCTTCATCTGCTTCCAGGTTATAGAATGAACCACCCCTTGGTTGAGATAGTTGAATGCTTGCTGAAGAACACGGGGAGCTACATATTCTTTCTGTCTATATTGATCTAAAATTTTTAGTAGCACCTATAAGAAAACAGAAAATACAGACTAACATAAACAATTATAAGGTTAAAAGGGGGAGGTGCCATTTTTGGCATGACCTAAAATTCAGAATCCATAGAAAAATAAACAGATTTGGGAGAAAAATCAATGTTTTGTAAGAAAGCTCAGATAAACAGCTTTAATTATTAGATAGGTCCATGTTATATTGAACTAAACGGTGTCTCATTGTAACTTCCAGGCAAAGTCTAAATTTCTATTCCACTGCTAGCTCTTCAAAGTAAGTTAAAACTCCTGTTTAAAAAATTACAATAACAGGAGCCGGGCACGGTGGCTCAAGCCTGTAATCCCAGCACTTTGGGAGGCCGAGGCGGGCGGATCACGAGGTCAGGAGAACGAGAGCATCCTGGCTAACACGGTGAAACCCCGTCTCTACTGAAAACACAAAAAAATTAGCCGGGCGTGGTGGCGGGTGCCTGTAGTCCCAGCTACTGGGGAGGCTGAGGCAGGAGAATGGCATGAACCCCGGAGGCGGAGCTTGCAGTGAGCCGAGATCGCGCCACTGCACTCCAGCCCTGGGTGATAGAGCGAGACTCTGCCTCAAAAAAAAAAAAAAAAAAAAAAAAAAATTACAATAACAGATCTGACTAAAGAAACATTAAAAACTTCCATACAACAAGAGACAGCACAAAGATGTTTCTTTATTTCATAAAGACTTCTTCAAATTAGAAGAGAAAAGTTGTTCAAAAAATAGTATTGGCATAACTGATTAGCCCCCTGAAAAAATTTAAATTAACTCCCTCAACTTCACACCAAAATAAACTTCAGATGGGGAACTATTTTAACACTGACAAAAAATGATAGCACAGGATTCCTTAAAGAAAACATGGGAGAATTTTCTTTTATAATCTCAGATTATAAAAGAAGGTATTTGTAAACACAACACAACTGAGAAGTTATTTTTTAAAAACTGATTTTTTAAAAACTGATTTAAAAAATTATTTATAAGGAAAAAGCCATGCCAAAGCACCTCTGAACTGGCTCAAGGACCTTTAGGCAACTTTCTTCACTACAGTAAGTTGCCTTCCAATTCCTGGTCTCCAGAGCTCTTCACCATATCAAGCTTATAAGTGAGTTGCTGAATAAATAAAAAGCATTCTTTCAAAATAGGTACAGAAATTATAAATTCAGAATATGGATTTTATTCAAGTTTCCTAAAACTCAGGTTTACCAAATTTGTCGGAAGTCCTGTCATCATGTAGAAACCCCTTCTGTGATGCAAGCTAGAAATGGATGATACTGAACATGATTCTTTCTAATACAGATGTGGCTCATACAAAGTAGGGGTGATGGGAGATGGGAAATGGGAGATTCTCTCCCTACACAACAGTGGGGGAGAGAAGAGTCCCTGATAAGAAAACCATTTTTAAGTATCAGGAATATATCCTTAAATAACCATGGTACCAAGAGTTTATAACACGGATATAATGGCATTTTTATATGTGTATACATGTATACACACACATACATGTTTATGACACTGAAAAAACAATTGACTCACCACACTTCAAGTGGGAATTAACTTTAAGATACTTTAAGGAGTTTAACATTAGTGGACAGCACTGGGAGGGGCAGAAGACAGATGACCAGCTTCCTGATTGTCCTGGTTTTATTCACTAATTTTCCCTATAGATTGTCTCACCAGCCAACAAAATAACTTGTGAGAAATTCAACTATATAACTACAACTTTCCTGAACTGTTGCATTGTACTTTTTAGAAAGCATTCTACTAGGCAAAATGATAACACATAAACGGAAGTATTCCATCTCAAGACAACAGGTTCTAAGTACTTAACATTATAATGCTGACAATAAAGAGCTATTTAAAAAAAAAAAATCTAGAGCCGGGCACGGTGATTCACACCTGTAATCCCAGCACTTTGGGAATCCAAGTTGGGTGGATCACTTGAGATCACGAGTTCAAGATCAGCCTGGCCAACATGGTGAAACCCCACCTCTACCCAAAAATATAAAAAATTAGCCAGGTGTGGTGATGTGTGCCTTTAATCTCAGCTACTTGGGAGGCTGAGGCAGGAGAATTGCTTGAACCCAGGAGGCAGAGGTTGCAGTGAGCCGAGATTGTGCCACTGCACTCCAGCCTGGGCAACAGAGTGAGACTCCATCTCAAAAAAAAAATCTAGAAACACCTTCTATGTCAGTAAAGCTTTTCCCTATGTCTAATTAGTCTTTGCTTCCTCAATATGGTCCTGACACAGCCAGTGGTCAATAATTAATAAATTTTATTGAAACATAAAAATATGATTTAAATGGCAACACTGATCAACCAATTTTCATGGACCACTTGTCCTTTGTAGCTTTTAAAATTTTTAAACATTATGTCAACTTGGATTGTTTCAGGAACTAATTTTCACTATATAGAATGGTCCCCAAACTTCCATAGAAATGTTTAAGTTCTCAGCTAAGAGTCTTGACGTCTAGTAAGCTCAACTACTCTTCATACAGACCAATTCATATTATATAAGTCTTCTAAAATAAAAACTTACAACAAAGAGGTGAAGAAATAAAGATCAAAAAACTCATAAGAGGTCAGAGAATTAATAGAAGAACCCAATCTAATACTGGTGACTGCTACACCACTATCAACTTAAAAGGTTTGAGTCCAGAGTCTAGGATTCAGTTCTGGTGGTGGCTGTCTCGGGACATTTGGTTCTAAAACTAATTGCACTGGAAACTTGGTTTTAAAACTAATTGCACTGTAATACATTCCCAGAACTGTCCTTCCATCCTCTATAAATATGTAATGAATTAGTATGTTTGTAACCTACTTCCAGTAGACAGAAATGCCTTTACTTTCAGTAGTAACCATTATTCTATTTTAAAAGCATAAGTTTATTACCTGCTGAATGCCCACTGCATAGGTTTTCAAAAAGAATTCAGAAAATTCAAAGTATTCTTTTGTGACATTTCCTGGGCTTCCATATCTTAAAATACAAAGAGAAAATGTACAAATACCGTGAATTTTACAAACAGCATGCTTGCTAATAATTTAAATATAGTCGCTTATTCAAAGATGGATTCTACTGGGACAGAAAACTAACACTGCCTTTTTTTCCCACAAGCCACAAAATGAAATCAAGATAACCTGTACTTAGACTATGGGCCATACTGTAAAGTTTCAGACAGAAGCTTTCACTTGCTAAACCAAGAGCTCCTAAAGGGTGAATATTGGAAATTAAAATGTTACAACTGACATAGATTTTTTTCAATAAATGCTTTTAAAATTAAATTTGACATTATTACGGAGTTGAGTGACCATGCAACTTCTTGCATAATTCTTAGATATTACCAATGGGCTGAACAATGTTATTTTTCCAAGTTTTTCACAGAAGAATAGAAAAGATCCAGAGAAGACCACCCACTTCATTATGATCTCAAAGCCAATGATTAAAATTAAGCTACTTTAAACAGAGTGACTCTTGGCTCTCGGTGGCTCTAAAGACAGATAATCATATCTGATACTGAGATACTGGCTGTATGATCATCAATGTAATAAACAGATAATTACCGTTCAAAGAGCCGAGCTACAATATGCAGTGCCCACTTCTTACACTTCCACCATACCAGTTCTGGTCTATCATCCTCATCAATGTGCAGAGTCTCCTAACAGGACAAAATTACCCAGATTAAAGTTCTGCATAATAAAAGGATTTATGTGAATAACAAAGGCAAGATAAATCTTGATATAGGTTAAGTCATATTAAATGTGAAGTTAGATTGCTATACAAATGAAAATTCTTTATAGATTGCTAGGCAGGAATTAAATAAGCAAAGTAAATTTCAACTAAACAATGCTGCTGTTCACATTTACCTCCTGTCTTCAAAAGGCCTAAATAAGTAGAGGACAAAATACAAAACACCATGGTTCCTTCAGGACACTCTGAGATGATGAAAGGGTTCTACATTTTTATCTGGGTGATAACACAAGTGTATGTCAAAATTCACTGAACTAGTCATTAAGTTCTGTGCATTTATGTATGTAAGCTAAATGTCAAAATACTTTGTCTCACGATATGGACAAGAGAAATAATACTGCACATTTTAAGACAAACTAAAATTTTAATAGATACAAGAACTAATGTGATAAATTAAAGATAGTATTATTGCAGATCAAAATGAAACACATCTTTTCCCTATCAAATGGACAAACTTAGAATTAAGTGTGTACCCATAACAGGCATTCTCAGTCACTGCTTATTAAAGTGTAACTGAGGGCACACTTTATTGCAGAGCACTCTGCAAGATTAGTGAAAAGCCTTCCATGTTTCTAGTTTATCCAAAGAAAATAATCATATATGTGCACAAAAATTTAAGTACATTCTTAAGAGTTAAAACACTAAAAAATTAAAGCCTAAACATCCAGCAAGTAAAACATTCAACAAAAATGACAGTATAGGCCAGGCGCGGTGGCTCACGCCTGTAATCCCAGCACTTTGGGAGGCCGAGGTGGGTGGATCACGAGGTCAGGAGATCGAGACCATCCTGGCCAACACCGTGAAACCCTGTCTCTACTAAAAAAAAAAACAAAAAAAACAAAAAAAAAATTAGCCGGGCGTGGTGGCGAGCACCTGTAGTCCCAGCTACTCAGGAGGCTGAGGCAGGAGGATGGTGTGAACCCGGGAGGCGGAGCTTGCAGTGAGCCAAGATCATGCCACTGCACTCCAGCCTGGGTGACAGAAGGAGACTCTGTCTCAAAAAAAAAAAAAAGGAAAAGAAAAGAAAAAAAGACAGTATAAAAGCATTCATAATCATAAAAATATTTGTAAGTTTTAAGTGAAAACTGAATTTCAAAATATTATCAATACGTTTTTTTTCTTTTTTGAGATAGGGTCTTGCTCTGTCCCCCAAGCATAGTTTGCTGCAGCCTCAAACTACCAGTGATCCCCCCACCTCAGCTTCCCAAGTAGCTGGCACATGCTACCACATCTAGCTATTTTTCTTTTTTCTTTACATTTTGTAGAGTCAAGGTCCCACTATGTTGCATAGATTGGTCTTGAACTCCTGGCCTCAAGTGATCCTCCCAGCTTGGCCTCCCAAAGTGCTAGGATTACATGTGTGAGACACCATGCCCAGCCAACGTATACTACTTTTATAAATTAAATATGTTGTATATAGATGCAGAGGAAAAAAAGACTAAAGAAATAAAGTTTTAAAAACAGTTTTCATTTTTGGTAGGATTTAAATTGCTTATCTAAGCTTTCTAAAAATGGTATTATGAATTATTTTATTAATTTATTTTATTAAAGTAGTAAATTTTTTCAAAGAGCAGTCAGGGATAATGCATCAGTCTACCGCAAACATTCCAAACCCGTTTCCCCTATTTTTCTTGGGAAAAGCTTTTTCTTACAGGAGGAACGGTCCTGTCGATAATAGTTCGGAAGATCTCCATCCATGTTGTCATGGTTTGGTTATTCACTAGCTGAAGAGGCAATGCATACTGGAAAAGAGAAGAACAACATGAACAGTAATTCCTCCCATCCAAAAAAATCAGCAATTTTATCTATATTGTAAGGCTAAAATATATGAAAGGGCTAACATTTGAGAATGAAAATAGCAATCTTGTATGGTTCAACCTAACTTAAAACAGATTCATACGACCATATAGAACTTAAATTTTTAAATTTAGAAGACTACCTGCCATGAGTTGTTTCTTGGGTCTACTTTTTAAAAGGAAAAACAAATGAATACCACTGAGGTCTCATTTATTCAGCATGAGATTCTAAGTGAGTGATTTTTATGACTTACCCCTTTGAGGGTCAAACTTTCCATTTTAACCACCTTGATGAAAATATTTATTTCATTAAACACTCATGAAACATTTTTTTAAATTACTTTCCTCTACACTGTAGCATAATAACTACAGTCCACTTTGTACTAAACAGATATATGGCTCACCTCTGCTGTACTGTGAGTTGCAGAAGACGGATATTGCCTCCACATCCATTCAGTACAAAACATGCTACATGCTACAGACATAATAAGATAGACAATCTTTGCCCTCACGAAGCTTACACTCTAACTGGAAAAAATGTATATAAAGTCATGCACCACATAACAAATGTTTCGGTCAGTGACAGACTGCATATACAACAATGGTCCCATAAGATTAGAACACAGCTGAAAGATTCTTATCGCCTAGTGACATAGTAACCATCTTAAAGTCACAGCACAATGCATTACTCAAATATTTGTGGTGATGCTGGTGCAAACAAACCTACTGAATTGCCAGCTGTATAAAGTATAGCAATTTTATACAGTACGTAACTGGTAATGACAACTATGCTACTAGTTTATATTTTTACTACACAATACTTTTCATCATTAGAGTGTACTCCTTCTACTTTTTTTTTTAAGTTATCTAAAACAGCCTCTGGTAGGTCTTTCAGGAGTATTCCAGAAGGCATTGTTATCATAGATGACAGCTCCATGCATGTTATTGCCCCTGAAATGAAGACACTCCAGCAGGACAGAATACAGAAGTGGAAGACAGTGATATTGATGATCCTGACCCTGCATAGGCCTAGGCTAATGTGTGTGTGTCTTAGTTTTTAATGAAAAAGTTTGAAAAAAAATAAAATTCTAAAATATAAAACCTTTTAAAATATGGATATAAAGAAAATATTATTGTACAGTTGTACAACATGTTAATATTTTAAACTAAGTGTTAGTACAACAGAGTCAAAAAGTTAAAAATTTTAAAGTTTGGCCAGGCGTGGTGGCTCACGCCTGTAATCTCAGCACTTTGGGAGGCCAAGGCAGGCGGAACATGAGGTCAGGAGTTTGAGACCAGCCTGGCCAAAACAGTGAAACCCCGTCTCTACTAAGAATACAAAAAATTAGCCAGGCATGGTGGCAGGCGCCTGTAAATCGAGGCTGAGGCAGGAGAACTGCTTGAACCCGGGAGGCGGAGGTGGCAGTGAGCCGAGATTGTGCCACTGCACTCCAGCCCGGGCGACAGAGGGAGACTCCATCTCAAAAAAAAAAAAAAAAAAATTTAAAGTTTATGAAGTAAAAAAGTTACAGTAAGCTAAGCTAGGGTTAATTTATTATTGCAGATAAATTTTATAAATTTAGTGTAGCCTAAATGTTCAACATTTATAAGCATAGACTAACGTCCTAGGCCTTCACATTCACTCACTACTACCTCACCCACAGCAACTTCCAGTCCTGCAAGTTCCATTCATGGTAAGTACCCTATACAGGAGTGCTTTTTAAAAAATATCTTATACTGCATTTTTAGCATATCTTTTCTATTACTTACCATTGAGTTACAGCTGCTTTCAGTATTTGGTACAGTAACATGTACAGGTTTGCAGCCAGGGAGCAACACACAGCCTAGGTATGTAGTAGGCTATAGCATCTAGGTTTGTGTAAGTACACTCTACAATGTTCACAGAGGGACAAAAATTACTTAACAATGCATTTTCTCAGAATGCATCCCCAAAGTTAAGTAACACATGACTGTACATGTACAAAGGTAGGAATAAGAGAAGAAGGTGAGGAGATGAAGGGCTTTATGGGCTATATTAAGAAGTTTCAAATGCACTTTATTCTAAGTGCATTTGGAAGCCATTTGGATTTGATATAGGGAACAGAGGAGAAGTAGGCTGAGGGTTAGGCTGAGCTTATGTATAGAATATCCAAGTGTCCTGTACAAATATTATGCTACTTAGACAAGATCTGTTGTATCATACTTTTATTTTATTTGAGGCGGAGTCTCGCTCTGTCACCCAGGCTGCAGTGCAATGGTGCAATCTCAGATCACTGCAACCTCCGCCTCCTGGGTTTGAGCAATTCTCTCACCTCAGCCTCTGGAATAGCTGGAATTAGAGGCACCCGCCATCATTTCTGGCTAATTTTTGTATTTTTCTAGAGATGGGGTTTCACCATGTTGGCCAGGCTGGTCTTGAACTCCAGACCTCAGGTGACCCACCCACCTTGGCCTCCCAACGTGCTGGGATTACAGACCTGACCCACTGCACCCGGCTGCTCATACTTTTAAAAACAAAATTGTCTGCTCCTTCTCATATTATCGCTTTTTACTTATGTCAGCATTGTAATAGTGGCTCCTAATGCCTTCTAAATTTCTACTTCCCAGAGGAGAATATTAATGTATTAGTACATAACAGATTACCAAAATGGTTAAAAATGTTGAGGTTTTCCAGGTTTTTAGCAAGTATAGACTGAGAAAAATATGAAGATTCTGTCGTCTTAGCAAACCAATTAGAGGTAGAGGCTTTAGAAAAATTATTTCATTAGCCTTTGTCTTACTTCCCAATTTCTAGCTGTTTCTGCCAATAGAAAAAGGAAGTCTGGCCTCTGAATATTATTTCAAAACAAGTGAGAGAACATATTTTCCTAGTATTCTAGTTTCTTCTCTTCTCACATTTGCCTCCTTCCCTCTTCTCTTTCCCTGCAAAAAGGCTGCTCTGGGGGAAAAAAAAAAATATCTGCCTCAGACTATCCCTATTAAAAGTTTAAAAGGGGAAGCTTTAATAAAAATATAAATCTTTATTAAAGTAAAATATTTTGAAATAGTTTAAGTATCTAAGTCAATAAAAAGCCAAGGATGGATCCAAACTATCATGGTTTTTGAGCTCAACAAAACCATCCTCTTCTCACGACAAATTCAACTAGAAAGCATGTAATAGAGTTTAATTCATTCATCAAACAGTTAAGACTGAAAACAATTATTCTTCCTCCAATCAGACCTAAATAATTTACCCAAATCTTTCAAGGATTTGATGTTAAATATTTTTATATTTCAAACATATTCCATCTCTATCTTCTCATTTCTTTCCGGATTCCCATGTTGGTATCCCTTATAGCATTCAGATTTTTTTTTTTTAGGCAGTATTTTAAACCAAGGAAAATGAACCCTAAATCCTCTGTTAGCTTTGAGTCAAATGCAAAGAAACTACCATCAATATGATTTCCCAATAGAAGAGGGACTCCCTTCTTCTTTTCCTTCTTCTTTTCCTTCTTCTTTTCCTTCTTCTTCTCTTGTAATCATAACTAATCTATAGGCAGGAATGCTACAGAACAGATAGTTGCGAGTAATCAGGTTTTAGAGCAGGTAGGTTTACCTACCCTGGTTCTGCTTTACCCATGATTTCAGACACTGGAGTGAAAAGCACTTAGGGGCAGATATGCCATTGAGACGATCTTGGGTAATTAATTTCTGTGAACCTGTTCCTCATAAGCATTTTTTAAAGAAATATATGGGATAATACAAAATAATTTTTAATAATAAGTGACACTTATTGAGCACTTTCCATGTGTCAGGCAGAAATACAGGACTCCATGTTTGTTTTCTGCAATAGAAACCTACCTGAACAAGTGCATAAAAGATTTTCAGAATTTGTTTCTGCAGTAATACAGAATAATAGGAGGAATCAGGAAGGAGCTGAACAATTTGTTGCTGAATACGAGGCAGGAATATCTGCATTGCTATTATAAGAGGTTCTCTCTCTTCTGCTTTCTTATATCTACATGAGCAAAGACAAAAACAGAAAAGTAATTTTTCCCACCCAAAGAACCATCAACAATAAATTATAAAATATTTTTTAAATACATAAAACTAACAAAACAAAGTCATTAACATTGGCTTCTAGTTTGTTTGAATTGCTAGAATTAAGTTGAAAAGAAATTTAAAATAACACATCCTGTTTTAGGCACAACACCTAAAATCTTTCTGGAAAGATTTAGACTAGTTTAAAACAACCCGAGACCATTTTGCAGTTTTCCTACATGAATGTTTCTAGTATTTAAATTAATTTTCATCCAGCCAAAATTCTTACTATAAAATATAAGTTGCTATGCTATTTTAAATAGACTATATAACAAATAATATGGGGGGAATTTTCTTATTATATTTCTCCCTGAATTGAGTAGTTAAAATAGTTTAAAATTTAGGTGCTCTTAGATTGCTTTAATTGCCATAAATCTAAAATATGTTCTATAAATTTCATAAGCAGAGTAGGAACTAGTCAGTTTAAAAGGAGAACTACAGGACTTCATATACACATGTAGCAATCTTCCTAGAAACCAGAAAGCAATACTATTAAGTGTGATATTAGTCCTCTACCTACCCAAGCTACTTTTATGGAAAAGAATGTCATTAGCAAAGAAACGTTAACATTTTCTATCTTGCATCCAAAAAAGTAAATGTTTTGGTTTACTTAATATACTCCCTAGAAGACAAATATAAAGGTATCTCTATATCAGAGTTTCCAAGGAAAGCTGTTAATAAATGGTACTGTGCAACTAACAAGTTTGAGAAGTGCTTCATATTATATCACTGTCTCAGAGGTTAGCAATATCCATCAGCACATTAAAGTTTCTTTCAATAACTGCAGCAAATAAACACATTTAAGCATGTTTAACCCAACATTTCCCAAACTAATCTGATAACCTGTGCAGAACATCCACAACAGACCACTCTTTGCAACTTCATTATTTCTAAGTTACACAAGGCTGCTTTCTTCAGCCAATGGAAACCAACTTACTCATATGTCTTCACCAGTTGATACAGGCATAATAAACTGCCAAGCCAGCTTGCACTGCTCTGTGATTGCAAGTAATAGTCTATCTTGTCGACCACTCCTGGCCAGTGACCAGGAAAATCATGTTTTATGATGGCACGGAGACACATTGTTAATTGGACTCTACAAAGTAGGGAAGAAAAGTCCAAAATCTAAGTAATTATAAATACTGTGTTTCAAAGACCTCTAATATTTTACATAAAAGTTTGTTATCTTCTATTTACGTGTATTATATACTTACATATGTGGGGTAGGGGAAAAAGACATATCTAAAAAACATCCTCAGTGGCTCAACTTGTTGAAAATAAACAGAATGGGTGAGTTTCTAAAATGAATGAAACCTTTCAAACTATCTTATCCTAAATACAGTTTAAAAAAATTGTTTTAAATAGTTTAAAATTTTCAAAAAACTCCAATGAATCTACCTCCACTCTGTAAAATTTCCAGCTTATTATATCTCATATTTTGGTTACCATATCCTGAATGGGGGAAAAAATAACACTTCAAACAGATAAACCTAGTCTAAAGATGGTACAAGTAAGTACAAAGAAGGCCTACATAATGGTGGGAAGCTTCTCTATGGGCCAAAACCTTGAACTCATCCATTATCAATTAAAACCCAACATCGTATGTTGAATCTATCCAAAGCAGTCTGAGATACTAATTTTTGTACCCCAAGTATAAGAAAGAAACATGTATTATTAGCGAGGCAATTCCTGAAGAGGAGAGCTAAGAGCTATTTCCAAAGAAATAAATGAAAAAGGCAACAGAAGAGACATAAAACAGAAAAAGAAAATATTCCTTTAATAAAACCACAAAGTTAAATGCTAAAATAAGTTATCTGATAACATAGATAAGTAATCATTTCCTCAATGAGATTTCAACTTTAACTGGAACTGAAAAGAAAATAGGGGGAAAAATTTCTTTTCTATAAACTATCAATTCAATGTTATCACCAAATATGACCTTACATGACATTTTCAAATGGTTAGAAAACAAACTTGGCAAAATTAGGATTCCACAGGGCAACTAAAAAAAAAATAAAGCATTTTCAGTTGAACAACCAGTAACTCAGATTCACTTAAACTGGTAAAATTAAACAAAATGATGCCTTTTCTTCACGTTATCAAATCTATTTGAAAAATCCCTTTGTAATACTCTTAAACTTTGAGAATAGGTGGAAGAAATTTCAACAATGATTATAATTAAGCCTTAAGGACATAAAAGGAGCAAAGCCACAGAGAACCGTCCCGTAATAAAGATAAAAGATCTCCTTTAGTGCCAGTAGTAGCTGCTCCTTTAAACAATAAATGTCATATTTGTAAAAAATAAAACTGAAGCTTTTCATTTTTTAAAATTTCATCTTCAGGTTGATTCTCCCAGTCCTTTCTCATTCCAAGCAAAGGATGGTTATGAAAGGCCATCCTTCATGCATTACTGTGTAGAACCACTCGAAGATTAAGGGAGATCTGAAAATTTAAGATTTTGAAAATAAATGGATACATGATGGTACCACAGGGGTATCAGTCCCATGACTGGCATTTGGGCAACCAATAAGAATAATAGTGATTTTTTCTTTTTAACCAGTACACCTATTTTCTCCTCTTAACAAATTAATTGCTCTAAGAGTTCAATGTTTGTTCTCCTTCCTGTTACCCGTCGTACTTCCTTCCTTTTCCACTGCTTATGTCATGATGGCTATTAGATACTAAGGGCTAACGTTATATTCAACCTCTTGATATTAAAAAATTTCATTCCTCTACCTCTGTTTTCACCTATTTGTCCCTCCCATTTTCAAAAGATACCTAATTACTATCTTGTATGTTGAAAAGAATTTGTTTCTCCTATTTTAAGATTGCAAAATTTTTATGACTTTACAGCTGCTCTGTCCAATAGAGCAGCTGCTAGTTAAATATGCACACTTTAAATGAATCAAAAGTAAATAGAATTAAAAATTCAGTTCCTCAGTTACAACTAGCAACATTTCAAGTGCTCAACAGTCATTGATGCCTTGTGGCTAATATTAGATAGCACTGACACAGAACACTGTCACTGCAGAAAGTTCTGAGGGACACTACTGCTCTACAGCATCTAATCTATGACTGTAAAAAACTGGAGACAGTTCTTCTAGTTTATACCTACTCTATCCTGTCTTCTCTGAAGGAAAACATGCTCAATTCATAAATGTGAATAAAAATACAGGGAAAGATTAAGACAGGTAGTAGGTAAAAATTCCCAGAATCAGTCTCTCTGTATCAAAGAAAAGAAAAGCAGGTAGTAAAAAAACTCAAGAGATCATTACTAAGAATAAAGGTCATTTAAGTAGCAAGACTTACACAATTGTTTTGGTTAAGTATCATTTTTTTTAAATCTTACCTCTTTTTGTGGCAACATACGACAACAAAATCTTTTCCAAAATATCTTGAGGCAAAGAATTACAAATGCAAAGACCACTAAGTAAAATAATATTCTTTGAGTGTCCCTCTTTATTACTTTACCTCTTTAGAAAATGAAACATGAGGCCAAGGATTAGATCCAACAGCACCCACCCTCAGATCTAACCATTTCATGCTTTCTAGTAATCACAAATATATAGCACCACATACCTCACTAAATCTGGAGACCGAATTATTCCTTCCACAATGTTATCACGTATTTGCTGGCGATCGTTTTCGTGAATGTTGAATGGAAATATTGCTTCTCCTGGTGGAGGTTCTCGATCTGGCCAGTATTGTGTCACCATGTTCTTCAGGTAAATGGCAGCTGAGTTTGAGAAAAAATGCTAATGTAGCAGTACCAAAAAGGATGGCTTTAATTCAGCCTTACAGAGCATGAAAGTCCAAACCCTTCAATGTTAAACATGAAACCCAGCAAAAATGGATACTCTTACAGGTATAAACAGCCAAATCAGGAAGGGAAAGTGGATAAGAATTTAAAGGTTTCACTTCAGCTAGTCTAAGCAGAAAACATTTCATTAAGTCAAGACCCAGAGCTTACAGGACAGGAAAATTATCTAGAAATAATGCATAGTAAACATACTTTGAGATCATAAAATCATACTTTTCGCAATGCCTAATTCTGAGGTGACAACAGGTAAAGTTCTACTTTCCTTCATGAAGATGGCTTTTTTTGTTTTTTGTTTTCCCACTGGCTACTGTCAAACACTAGCATTTTGGGGTATCTCTTCTTTTTATAGTATTGGTAATTTTCATCCAACCTTTTTGAAATATGTACTACTTGTAAATATAATAGGGAAATGAACATCAGCCATCAAAAATTTTTGGAAAAAAGCTCAGAAAATTTTTATATGTTCACATCTATCAAAATACATAATCTGATTTTGTTCTGTTCTTTTTAATCGTCTTCAACCTTTAACAAAAGGCTTCTGAAAGAAACAGGCTGACATATTGCTACAGCATTTTAAGAAAGAATGTGAAGCTTTTCTTTTCTTTTTTTTTTTTTTGAGACGGAATCTTTCTCTGTCATCCAGGCTAGAGTGCAGTGGCAAGATCTTGGCTCACTGCAACCTCTGTCTCCCGGGTTCAAACGATTATCCTGCCTCAGCCTCCCAAATACCTGGGATTACAGGCATGTGCCACCACACCCAGCTAATTTTTGTATTTTTAGTTAGACAAGATTTCACCATGTTGGCCAGGTTGGTCTCGAACACCTGACCTCAGGTGATCTGCCTGCCTCGGCCTCCCAAAGTGCTAGGATTACAGGTGTGAGCCACTGCACCTGGCCAGAATGTAAAGCTTTCTAACCATCCCAGTTGAACAGTGAATGTAAGTAAATACTTATAATGTTGTGTGTGTGTGTGTGTGTGTGTGTGTGTAAAGAATACAGATACGTGATTTGCAAAGCAGCATAACTTTCTTCCCTTAAGCTTCTCTTCTTTCCCCACCCAACTCTTTCTTCACCCAACTTTTAACATATAACTAAATTCATGACCCGGAGCAGTGACTCACACCTGTAATCCCAGCACTTTGGGAGGCCGAGGCGGGCGGATCACCTGAGGTCAGGAGTTCGAGACCACCCTGGCCAACATGGTGAAACCCCGTCTCTACTAAAAATACCAAAATTAGCCAAGCATGGTGGCAGGTACCTGTAATTCCAGCAAATTCCTTGAACCCAGGAGGCGGAGGTTGCAGTGAGCTGAGATCATGCCACAGCACTGCAGCCAGGGCAACAGAGCAAGACTCTGTCAAAAAAAAAAAAAAAAAAAACTAAATTGGGTAGTCAAAGCACTATACCATAAAGAATACACCAATACATTCTACATTAGCTAAAACTTAAAAGAAATTTAGTGAAATTATGAACTTGACATCTGGTAAGCTCCTCTTTCATTAGTTTTGAGTAGCTAAAGTTCTGAAAAACTGTTCCATCTATGATTTCAATTCATTTGGGTGAAAACAAAAATTATATAAAGGGGGATGTGTGTTAGAGTTTTCTTTTTTCCCTTACTTGTTTTTAATTCAGACCACACAAGCTCTAGACTAGGTACCATGTTTTATCGGGTATAGTCATTATATTATGTAACAGTGACTGGCAAAGAGTACACATTCCATAAAAATGTATAGACTATTCAAAAAATAATGAATGAATGATCTAAGGATATGAACCAACCTGTCAGCAGTTCAGACTGATTTCACAGGATTTAGGGGTTTTTTTGAGACAGGGTCTCACTCTATCGCCCAGGCTGGAGTCCAGGGGCACAATCACAGCTCACTGCAGCCTCCACCTCCAGGGCTTAGGTGATCCTCCCACCTCAGTCTCTCAAGTAGTTGGGAATACAGGCGTGCACCACCACGCCAGTTAATTTTTTTGTATTTTTGTAGAGACAGGGTTTCGCCATACTGCCCAGGCTGGTCTTGAACTCCTGGGCTCAAGTGATCCACCCACCTCAGCCTCCCAAAGTGCTGGGATTACAGGCATGAACACCCAGCCTGATTTCACAGGATCAATCTTTGCAAAAAGAAAAATCAACTATATTAGTCACAAAATCATTTTGATCCCTATAGAACTAGTCTTGAAAACAAAGAAAAGCAACCTTTAGACAGTAAAAATACAGACACGGTAAAATCATGGACTTATTTATGATTTAGTCATTAAATACTATTAATATTAATTTTATAAATGAAAAGTTATAATTTAAAAATTATGGTGCATCAAACGAGACAGCCTTTAAAAAAGGCACACTGACTAATTTGTATATGCCTAAATAAATGTACAATGAGGTAAAATAAAATTGAAAATATATTAAAAAGAAAATTTTAATTACTATGATGGATAATTATGGATTACTAAGGATAAAGGAAAAATACCAAAGATAACTGTTACCATATCAACCAATAATCTGAAAACTTCCCTTTAATCATTTAATTCAAGTGCCTAAATACAAACCATTTGCCAGAACTAAGAAACAAAGGACTAATATCATGTTAATCCAATTCATAAAGGAAATATTAAATTTACTGTATCTGTCTGGGTGTCTTAGAGCATCCTTGTATTTTAATAATAGATTAAATAGAGCAGAAAATCTACAAATGGCACTTAAATTTAGGATAGTTATAATGTAGAATTTTATAAATGTATTTCAGATTCTATGATAAAAATGGCTGCTCTAAGACAGTTTTCCTACAAAATCCACTCACCATTTTAAGCATCATAAGTTGAAATTAACTTTCTAAAAACACACACACACTTTTCTCCTTCAGCACAATGAATCATCACTTAAGCTCTGGACCCAGAGACACAACTACAGAATCAATTGGGTTTCATAACCTCAAAGTGGAGAAAGTACTGTTATCTCGGTGGGCAGAATGTCATGCTTTTGAGTTGATGTTTCTAAGTCTTGCTGTTTTTCATTGTAATTTTGTACCCCTTCTCTCCCTTATTACTCTGTGAAAGGCTAGATTAGACAACAAATGTGTCAATTCTATCAAAACAATATTAAATAGATTCTGAGCACAAGCCACAAAGCTTTCTACAAATAAAATGCATGAATGTTAATAAAAGCTTCTTAAAGTGCTTCTGGACTGATCAGAGGCATCTTTCTGTTTATTTCTAGGTTCTGCACTCTGCAATGCTGACGTCAATCTTAACAAATAACCTCTAAACAAATAACCACAGAATGAATTGTTATATCTTCTCCCTGTCCATCCTTTGGAAATACAAACAAAAAGAAACAACAAGGAGCAGGCAAACTTATAGAAATCAAAAACCATGCTATTTTTTTAAATGACAGTCCCACATCTGTCACCACTGATGACCTCTTCAGGTCTAATACCTCTCAACCACCACTTTTAAATCCAAACTACTCTCTCCTTCTCGTAGCAACTCCAAAATGCACTGAAAAAAGTACATTTCTGAGCCTAAATTTACATATATTAGAGAAATTTTACTAAAGAGTCTCTTCAGATGTAAGAAGTAAAAAATTAGAAACAAAAGTGATTTGAAATTCCAGATCATAACTATCCTAAATTTAAGATAGGCTTCCTTCACCGCACATGATAATATTAATAATGCTATTATGCTTATCAACACCTCAAAAGAAAAGCAGCAGACCAAACATTCAAATTTTTTTGTTTTGCTTGGCAACATCAAAATACTTAATTTTTTCCTGTTTCTTGAAAACTCACAGTAAGGTAAGAAAGGACATTCACCAGTGAGCACGCTTGATGGTAGCAAGAACACTTTAGATTGCCCACAAGCAAAAGAGAAAAAGTATTTTGCAGATGTATTTCCACTTAACATTAGCATAACTTTTTTTTTACAGCTTTATACAGGCTTTCTTTTAAAGCAAAAATCACAACATTCTTTTTTAAGTGTCATGCTAAAGATAAATTATCTTTCTAGGTGTCTTGGAGCATCCTTGTATTTTAATAATAGATTAAACAGAACAGAAAATTTATAAATACCACTTAAATTTAGGATTTGAAATCTAAATTATGAAAAAACAAATTATGAAGAAAAAAATGCCTTTCAATGCTGTTTACATTTTACATCAAAACTTCATTAAGTTGTACAGAGTTGGTGAGGATTTGGGGAACCTAGCATTCTAATGCACTGTTGGTAGAAAATGTAAGCAAAAGCAACTTAGTGAGAAGATTCTAAATTCTAAATGTCATAAATATCCATTAGCCAAGCATTTCCCCTTGTTATAACTTATTCTATAAAAACACTCCCACAAGTACCTAGATACATATCAAATGACACTCATTTAGCATTGCTTCTATCAACAATGAAAAAAAGACAATAAGCGAAATGTCCATCAATATCAAATCGTTTAAGTAAACCATGGTAATTCTTATATAAAGAAATACTGCACAGCTGTTATAAAGAATGAAGTATCTATATGCACTGACTTGGAGCAATCTTCAAGGGTACATGGTTAAATGAAAAAAAGGAAACTGTAAAATAGCATGTGTAATATAAAAAAAAGAATTGGAGAGCCACGCATCAAAGCTGATGGCAGTCATCTTTGGGTGTATTAAGAACAATGTAAGTTATAAACTGTGTTTTTCTAATGTTTCCATGTCATTAAAGGAAGACATTAATGTAAAAACTTGTTTTAAGATCTTTTAAAATGTTATTTCTTAAATGCTTCATAGGAACTTTACAATGGCCCTATAAACACTTAGGTTTTTAAAATAGGTTCCATTCAACAAAATGTTATTCCAGAACAGCCCTATTTTATAAAACAAAGATGAAACAAGTGCCAATTGTGGTTTCAAAAATTTACACAGAAGTCTTGTAAACCTTATAAAAGCAAAAAATAATTCCAACATCAGTGTTTTTCCATAGGATTTTCTTTTTTATCTTAACCACAAAGTGATCTTTCAGGAAATCATATATAGTGTTATAAATCTTCCCAAAGCTTAATATTTCTTTATCTTTTTATTCTATGTTCAAATCAAATTAAATACTTTCATCAGCATGTAGATTATGACCCATTTCTCTGAAACTGTTCATCTATCCTTCTACGTGAACACATGGAAAGGCTAATGTTCACCTAACGTTAATGATGAGTAATGATGGCCATTTCTGAGTGATGAATGTTGGGTAGTTTTACTTCCTTCTTTGTATTCTTCTAAATTGTCCAAATTACTTACATGTATATGTCACTTACATAACAAGTCTTTTTAAATACTTATTTTTAATTAGCTATTGTCGTTTACCTCCTTTAGCTTTTGATTATTATCTTTTGAAAATTCATGATACTCTAAGGCTCTAATTTTTAACCTTCTGGGCTCTAATGACCAGTCCATAAAAAAACAAGATAAAAGAACGATGTACAACATCATGAAACAACGTAAGATCCCACAGACTTAAAAGTAAGTTTCATGTTTAAAACATAGTCCTGCTCCGCAGTCACCTGGGTTAGGAACATCTGTGCAACACATTACCTCCATGATTTGCCACGTAACAGAGCTCGAATTCACATATATAAATTCATGGTCTTAATCTATGGGCCCAGAGGCTAGGCTACCAGAAATCATAAAACGTTAGAGAGATCAGCTATTAAAATTGAGAAAAATAAGGGCAAAGTTACAGAGGCAAGGAATTGGTGGGTAAAAGGGAGAGGAGGAAAAAAAAGAGCTAGAAGATATTTGAGAGCTCAGTATCTACCTCTAAATTTCTGGGGAAAAAGAAAGTGAGTTTTGAAGTCACTGGAAATACTTCATGAGTGCTAGTGCTTCTGAATTTTTCAATAAATTACAGATATGTAAAATTAAAATAAAACTCTCATTCTACTCTCACCTATAAATAAATTTATAAAGGATAAAAAACCAACTCACCTGCCTGTCGTACTGGGAATTCCACATGGTCAGAGACTATAATCCGAAGTAAACTGGGGGCAAAATTGATAATCTTGTAGGACTGAAATTACAAAGAAATGTTTTATAAAATAGGGCAATATAAGTGAGTAGCTTATAAGTTAGCACCGGTTACTGAATACATTACTGTCCAAATAAAAGAAAAACTTTTAAACTGAGACAAACCCTTCAAGGCAAAATGAAGATTACTAAAATACTTCAAGTCAAAAAAATTTCCTGAGCAGAAACTGATGAATAAAAGAATGTGAACATTTTTATGATTTTTTTTAACATATTGTCAGAATGGTCTCCAGAAGTAGTATACCAATTTACACTCCCAACAGCAGCATATGGTAGTGTCCATCTATCTAATACAGGTATCATCATTCCTTTGAAACTTTAAAATTTTATTAATGTTTTAAATTGCATTTTCTCTATTACTAAGGAGGTTGGGTGTTTTCCTCTTTGTTGGCTGTTTTTTCTACAAATTCCTTACTCCCTTTATCCTTTTGTAAATGGAGTATTTGCTTTATTCTTAATAAATTCTAAGAGCTATTTATGAATTTAAAATCTCAATCTTTTATTTGACCTATACATGGCAAGTATTTCTTCCTAGATTATTTGTGCTTCAATTTTGTTTATGGTATTTTTGACAAACAGAAAACAAAAAAACAAAGGCTACAGGAAATAGGAGACCCAACAGAGCAAAACAGAGAAGATAATGTTACAAAGTTGAGCGTGAGCAATGGAGAGAAGCCAGTCCAGATTGGAACAGTGTGACTCACGAGATGGGGTTGAGCACACTGTCATCACCAGCTGCCCTCTACTGCTGTACTATCTTTTACACTTAATGCCTAAGTGAGCCTGTGGGGATGAAGCTCCTGCTCTGCCCTGTGGCCTGGGTCACTTCACCCCACAGGTGTGCTCTACTATGATCTGCTCCTGAGTTTGGCGATGGGGACCTTCAAAGCAAAAAAATACAGAGCATCCACTCCTTCTGATCACGTTATATCCAGATGTACAGTACCTGGACTATATTACAGTCCTGTCACATTCCAGAGTCCACATATGCCTTTGTCCACTGACATTCATTTGAAAAGACTCAAATTCCAGTGAGGCCAAACCAGACAATGACCCAGAGAGTCTGTTCAGCTCACCCCTCTCCTCAGAGCCTGGATCTGTGGGGGCATCCCTTTCAATACACAGCTAGGTTTGGGCATATTATTCATTTTTTTAAATTAAAATCACATCTATGAAGGTAAGTGTTTGATTAAAAAATTAATTTGGACACAACTGGCATTTTAAAAATATTAATCTTTTTCATCCAAGAACATTGTGCTTTCCCAATCTTTCTATATCCTTCACAAAATTTTGAATTATAATTTTCTTCCTTTCATCCTGTGTAGTCTTCAGATCACAAATCTGTGGCATGTAAATTCTTTTTTATCCATAATTGAAACCATCAGAATTTCAAAGCAGTTTTTAAGAAAACAGATTTGTTCTAACAACCGTTGATAGGAGGCAAAATTAACACAGATTCACCCAGCCTTCACCTTCTACATATGTATTATAACTCATGTTTATCTTTGTAAATACTGAAAGATCTTGTCATGAATCAAAGATTAAAACATCTATATAGTTTATTCTAATCATAAAAAAACTGACTTCCGTTATTTGTTTAAAAATCTTATTCCACACATACAAAATAACCTTTACACTTAAATAAATGCTACTTATTTGAAAGTAATATACCTATTGCAGAGACTTTTATGTCAACACTGTTGCCATTGTACAGATTTTGAAACTCCTCTTTTTGCAACTGTTTGCCATTTTAAAAAATTTCAGAAACCTTGTCTTCTTTCAGCATTGATTCATTCTATATTAACTTGGCCAGCTAAAACATTCAGAGATATAGTCAGATATATTTTCATACTACTTTACTCAGAAATAGTTACTCAATTTCTTTGTGCCTCTTCAGGCTTCGAGTTTCTAAAAAATAAATAAGACTAATTTCTCAATGATTTCCTGAGGATATTTTGTATCTGTGAAGTTTTCTGCAAATACGCAGTTTGCTTAACTAAATTCTGCATTTATGAGAACTCATAAAGCAAAAAACTGATGTCTCCTCCCATCCTCTGACTCACTGCTCCGCTGCATTAACCTTTCTAGTCCTCCAGCATGCCAAGTTGAGGGCCTTTTCTGAACCGATATTCCCTCTCAGTCCTCCAGCACGCCAAGTTGAGGGCCTTTTCTGAACTGTTGTTCCTCTCTCTGCTCTTTGCCTGGCCCATTCCTTCACAACATCCAACTCTCTACTCAATGCCATTCTTCAGAGAATGGCTATACATCCCAACACTCTTGCTCGGGCTTTACTCTCCACAGCACTTATGACCTGAAATTATATTAGTTACTTGCCTGTATCCCCAGCTCCATGGAAACAAACTCTTATACCAATATCTGCAACATAGTAACTTAATAAATATTTCTGTGCTATTTACATAAACAAATTATCTTAATAAAGGGTAATGAAAATTGCATGTACACATGCATGGAAAGCAGAGATTCAAAAGCTTGGCAATCAAAGTAAAAACTTATTTCCCTACCGAGGCCATGTGAAGGATAATTTATTAAAAGAGGACACCTTTCTGGATGAATTACTTAAGCAAGGTACCTACCCATTCCTATTCCTCTATGCTGCCTCTAATGGGACTTCTGGTCTATAGAAAATGAGGAAGATGTATAGGGTTCGCTCAATATCCTGAGATAAAACTACAAATACATTTTCCCACAGAAACAATATCACAAATAGCAGTCAGAAAACTACTCACTAGTAACAGAAAAATGCTGGCCTGAAAAAAATATATAGCTCCAAATGAGAATTTATCCATTGGAATATAGGCTGTGGTGCAGAAGCTGCTTATTTTTCTAAACGGCAATTGACAGATCCATCAGTATACCGCAGAAGCTGCTCCCATTCCCTATGCAGAACATACTTGCTGAGGGGAGACCTAGACTAAAGTCGAAGAGGTGGACCATAACCACTTATGGTGATTTACCCACTCATTTATCCAACAAAGTCGGATGTTACAGTGGTGGCAAAGGACAAGCAGGCAAAACCCATCATCATAAGCATGTTTTACTACACTGTTAGGTGACATTATATTTTGTTCTATTTACAGCCAATTCAAAAAACCTTAAAGCATTTCACTATGCTTTATATAAATTATAAATGCTAAATGAGTGGTATAGCAATAAGCTACCTTTAGAAATTGCTGGGGAAACCACGGTCTGTGATGAGGTGGGACACTATGGGGCAGGGCAGAGTGATGATGGAATGGATTTGGATTGAACTACCATCAAGAGTCTACGGCCATACCACCCTGAACGTGCCTGCTTTTGTCTGAAATACCATGGGAAAAAAAATAGGATTGGGTCTTAAATGTCTCCTAGTTCTGCAGGCTTTCTCATATACTTTTTCCACTTCTATAACATCAACTGTACTTATATACTGATGAATCAGAAAGAAATGAAGGTTAGGTGAAGGGCAGGGAAGTGTAACCTGATATCAAAGGAACACCTGGCCTCATTGTGAGAAGGGGGTCATAAACAGGCCAACTCCCCTGTTCATATTAGTAGACTGCAAATTCAGCTCCTGCTTTGTTCTTCCTAACTAACCCCTGGATTACTATTCTTCCAGCCAGCCAACATACAGTACTTTTACTCTGCAAAGCCTGGGACAGGTACTGACTTTAACTTCCCCCTATTCTAAGTGACAGTCCATTTCTTTTTCAGGCACCAGTGCATTATCTTTGGGCATTAGTTCAACCCAACCTCCTCTCCATTGGCAGTGTCTTCACTCTCCCTTTTATCTCTGGGGAATCCTGCATTTATACCTACTCCAAACTCCACCTAGGTTTCCTATTAAAATAATCCCTTTCAAAGATTCCCAACACGCAGCTTTTTAAAGTCAATTCCAACAGAAACATTTACTTAGGACAGTCACACTTCAGTCACACTTCGGGAGGCACAGAATCACCTGGGGGAGCTAGTTAAAATACAACTGGTCCCACCCCCACAGTTTCTGATTCGTTAAGTCTGGACTGAAGCCCCGTAATTTGCATAATTTGTAAGTTCTCAGGTGATGCTGAAGCTCCAGGTCCTGGGCAACGCTTTGAGAACAGCTGATTTTGGAATATTTACATTTTACAAGTCATCACAACCTAAAACAGCTGTTGCTCCATCCCAGTGGTAGCTCTTAATCCCTACTTTTTAGTAAGAGGTCTGTGATTCTTAAGTACCGGTAGGGAAGAAGAAATAAGCTGGAGTTTGGGATCATTAAAATTTTGAAGTGTGGGGGTAACGCTGGAAAGACGTCAAGGCTAATTAGGAAGAACAGGAGACGGAGAAAAGAAAGAAGTCTTACACATTTTAGCATTCATAAGAAATTTCTCCAACACATCTTACTTTGATGTGTCTTAGATAAAGCAGTATCACCATGAAAACTGCCTATTCTTCCCAGAGCACTCTCCCAACAGCACTGCCCAGCGCTCCGCAAAACTCGGCCAATCGGTGTCAAAACAGTCCTGCCAACCCGACAGGAGGAGGCGGTGGGCAGCGTGCTCCACAGCAACACCTAAAAAGGGCTGGGTTTGGAAAAAAGCTGAACTCAGATTTGAACTGTAAGTAAAATTCCCACCTGCTCCCCAAGTCCGCGCACTTAAGGAAAATAAATCACACCCTGAAAACACTAGCACAGGTTGCAAAAACTGCTTCTTGCGGACCAAGTAGGCAGAACAAACTGCCCTGGAGAAGGGAGACGACACGAAAAGGTGCAAAGGTGGCCAACAGGTGCGCGAGCTGTTCGGCAAAGATCCTGGGAGCCCTGCTCCACTGGACCGGGGGGCAGCGGGGTCGGAGAGCGGGACCAGCCGTGAGGCGTCAGCCCCAGCCCGGTGGGGGTGAGGACGAGGGGCGCCGGGGAGAGGGAGCCCGGCCAGCCGGCAGGGGCGCCCCTTCGGCGGAAGAGGGTCGCCGAAGACCCTCTCCTCACCTGGTTGAGCTCGTTCTCGGCTGCAATCCGCAACTTCGGGTCGATGGTGCCCTTCAGCGCCTGGATGATCCGGTTGAGGTCCATCTCCCCGGGTGGGGGCTCCGCGGCCCCCGGAACAGTAGGCCGGACTGCAGCTTTAGTTTTCTTTTGACCCTCTCAGCCTCCTCTTCCGCGACCCCTGGATTACCTCACACCCCACCCCCCGCCACCGTCGCCACCTGCGGCCACTTGCTGCGCCACTCTGACTCCGCGCCCCCTGTCCTCCCTTTTTCCCCCCCACAACTCGCTCTCCATTCACCGTTTTACGACAGCCGGTGGGAGGCGGGAGAAGGAAGAAGAGGAAGCAGAGCTTCCTTTACGGCGGCCTCTTCCCCCGGGCGTGATGCTATGACCGCCTCCCGTCGGCGGCCGCCATGCTGCTGTACGGAAAACGGCCTAGGCTTCTTTCCCGGAAAGGAACCCGCGCTCCCGAACTCAGGCAGGCGGCCGCTATGCTTCCGTACGGTAAACAGCCTCCCGCCTCTTCCCAGGTGAGGAAACTTGAGCTGGCCGGGAGTCTGCTTACAGCTGCTTCCAAATTAAGCATATCTGGATGGTGTGACACTTTTTGTTAGTCCGAGAACTGTATGGGCATCGCAACTGGGCCTGTTCCAAGATAGACTTGTTGGGACCTTCAAATCATGTACCTTACAGGAGGACAGGGTTCCTCCGTGTGTGGGAGTCATCGTTCATTCATTCATTCGCTTTCACTGAACATTTGTTAAACATATATTTTTGAACCAGAGTACTAGGATTTTTAGGTACCACATTATAACAAGATGAATTCCATGCAAGTTAATGTGAAGGAATTCACAACCTGATAGATGAGACAAATATAAACAAAAAAAATTTACAGTGTAGAAATGATAGGGGAGTGCTGGGAAGGGAAGAGCGTGGTCCCTTTAAATGATAGGGATGGGCGAAGTGAAGTGCTGGGTAGAGGAGTGTGTGGTCCCTTGCTAGGGCTCCACGCCCACCGACCTAGGTGAGGACTGACACTCCTGCCTTCCAGCCCAAATGTTGCATTTCCCAAGACCACCCTGGCCTGCCACTCCCCCATACTGTGCCTATGAAAACCCCAGACCCTAGCAGGCAGGTACACAGGCAGCCAGACGTCCAGAGGAGCATAAGGGTGGAAGAAGAGGAGCTCGCTGGCACATCCGCAGGCCATTCACGGGCAGAACGATGCGGAGGTTGGCCTGGGCAGTCGGAAAAGAGCCCGGGCCGCCAAGCGGCCTAACTCCAGAGGAAAACCATTTCCCTTCTGGGTCCCTCATCTGCTGAGGGCTACTTCCACTCAATAAAACTTTGCACTCATTCTCCAAGCCCACGTGTGATCCAATTCTTCTGGTACACCAAGGCAAGAACCCAGGATACAGAAAGCTCGCTGTCTGTGCGACAAGGTAGAGGGTCTAATTGAGCTGGTTAACACAAGCCCCCTAAAGGCAAACTGAAAGAGCATCCTGTAACACACACCCACTGGGGCTTCAGGAGCTGTAAACATTCACCCCCAGACTCTGTCAAGGGGTCGGAGCCCCACAGCCTGCCGGTCTGTATGCTTCTCTAGAGGTCTGAGCAGCGGGGCACTGAAGAAGCGAGCCACACCCCCAATGCACGCCCTGTGAGGGGGACAAGGGAACCTCTCCCATTTCAGAAAGACAAAGGTCACAGAAACTGAAAACTACATCCCTGAGAGTTTTATGAAAAATTTTCAGACCTTCTCAAAAATGTAGTGAAAGGTAAGCAGAAAAGTTATACTGTTTCTATCCACTGTGGCCATATCTGGCGCCACAATTTCAATGGCATGAAAATATCAAGGAGCTGGTTCTTCCTGAGGTTAACCCAGAAGAGAGGGTTCTAATTACATTTAATAAAGATGATGATGTGGGCAAAACACAGCTGAGGGGCTGTGATCTTTTCAGGAGCAGATAATTAAGATAGATTGGGTCAATTAACTGAGTTCAATTGAGAGAGTAGAAAACATGTGGCTGAAAACTTGGTGGCTTGAAAGCTTCCCCCTCAGTTGGATGCAAAAGTGCTTCACAGTGAATTTAACATGTCTAATTGCTTCCAGTATTGCCCCTCTTTAATCCATTATTCACACTATCATCAGAAGAAAGTTTCTGAAAAGTTAATATTACTATGTCTCTTCCTTGATTTCTCATCAATTTCAAAATAAAATATAAACTTAGCACTCCAGAGTCTTATGAACACTATTTCACTAAACCACTCTCTTGGACATCATGAATGTCTAAAAAATTTTTTATCTCTGAAAATCTTAACTCCAATATCCTCTTTTATAATTAGAACTAATTCTTCCATTTCTCTCTTCCTCAAAAATTCTAAGCTTGTTTTCCAATTCAATCACTACTTCAGTTCTTAGTCTATCCATTACTCACTACACATCATTCTCTGCTATTAAACCCCCAATTCAGCTTCTTAACTCTAGCCTTGACCCACTGTGCAAACTGATATCAGATGTATTCTTTAATCAGATGCAACCATCCTATTCCTATTCCTTGCCTTTAATCAGCAACATCTTCCATTCCCTCAGTGGCGTTTCAACTCTCAGGACTCTTCTCAAGCTCCCTACGCCTTCTCACCAAACCCTGCAAAGATGAGCAAAACCCTCAGGCTCAACTCAACAACAAATTCATCTCCGCTTATCCCTCTTCATCTCCTCTGCAGTCTGAACCCCATTCTCTCCCATCTCCTCCAGGACCCTGTTCCATAAATCTCTCCTCTCTTAAATACATTTTTTCATTAAAATAAATTTTAGTCATTATAATGTGCTCATTGTTGACAATGTGTAAGTTTTTTTCGTACTTTTTCAGCCTCTTTTCCTCCACTGATTCAACCTCAGCCTAAAAACATTTCCCCCAGCAAAAAAATAATCTTCAGTAATGCTAATTATTGCTCATTCTTTTCCACTTCATTCCAAAGAATGGTCTTCATTCACTGTGTCAGCTTACTTCCCATTCATGCTTCAACCACCTATCCCCAGGCTTCTCCCCCTCATTTCCCACTAAAACTGCCAAGCAAAGATGAACACCGACCTCTTTAGGGGGTATACCAACTGCAAGAGACATTTTTAGTTCTCAACTTAAATTTTCTCTCTCTCGCGCGCGCGCGCGCGCGCGTGTGTGTGTGTGTGTGTGTGTGTGTGTGTGTGTGTATGTATAGAGAGAGAGAGAGATTGAGAGATTGGGGGAGGGCGTCTCACTTCCATTGCCTAGGTTGTAGTGCAGAGGCATGATCACTGCTCACTGCAGCCTCGACCTCCTGGGCTCAGGTAATTCTCCCACTTCAGCCTCCCAAGTAGCCGGGACTACAGGCACATGCCACCACGCCCAGCTTTATTTTTAGTAGAGACAGGGTTTTACCACATTGCTCAGGCTGGTCTCAAACTGCTAGGCACAAGCAATCTGGCAGCCTCAGCCTCCCAAATTAGGATTACAGGTGTGAGCCACCACACCCAGCCTCTAATATCCGGTATCATATTTCATACTATTTTTAAATTATCTCTTTTCTTGTTTTCTCTTACAGAATACATTCCTAACCCTTTGATTACTCAATCGCCCAAGTCTTCGACGCTTCTCAGGACTCTGTCCTCAGCCATCTTCTCTTTCTCATCCACCCATTTTTCAGTAATTTCATCCACTTACATAACTTTAACCATCAACTAAACAAAGATAGCTTACAAAACTAGTTGTAAGATCTCTTCCCTTAAACTAAATATATCCAAATGCCTATACATTTCTACCAATATCTATCCCTCAAATCACTTAAGGCACATGTCTAAAACTGAACTCAGCACTGAAGATGATAGATTGGAGAAGGGAGAGACTTAAGGTAGTTATTCCAATAACATAAAAGGAGAGATCAAAAACGGTGACACCACCAAACGCTGGTGAGGATGTACAGAAACTGGATCACTTATATGTTGGTGGTAACATGTACAGTGATACAGCCTTTCTGAAAACAATTGGGCAGTTTCTTTAAAAAACTGAATATGCAACTACCATATGACACAGCAATTGCACTCCAGAGCATTGGTCCTAGACAAATGAAGACTTGTGCTCATAAAAAAAACCTTGTGAGTGTATATGCAGCTTTATTCATCATAACCCAAATCTGGAAACAATCCAGATATCCTTCAGTGGGTGAATGGTTAAATAAACATGGTACATCTATACCATGGGATACTACTGAGCAACAAAAAAAAAGATACATGTAGCAACCTTGATGAATCTTCTGAGAATTACGCTGAGGGAAAGAAGCCAATCCCAAAGGTTGCATCTTGTCAAATGCCATTTATATAACATTCTTAAAATTTAAAAAATATAGAAGGATCCATGGTTGCTAAGGGTTAAAGTGGAGGTGGTGGCAAGGGGGAAGTGGGTGTGACTGTAGAAGGGCAATATGAGGAATTCTGATGATGGAAATGTTCGTTTCTTGACTGTATCAATGTCCATATCCCAGTTGTGATGTTGTACTATAGTTTTACAAGATGTTACTGTTGAAGGAAACTGGAAAAATCGTACATAGGATCTATCTGTATCATTTCTTACAACTTCATGTGAATCTACAATTATATCAAAATAAAAATTTTACCCAAAGTACGTAATTAAAAAGAGCTGATGTTCCCATGAAAACTTTGTATGCTTTGGACAGACTCACTGAAGACAAGTTACTAAAATACAATGCTATCAAATTAGGGGTGGCCAAGAAAACAGGAAAGATCAGAAAAAGCCATGAGCTCTCGGATTCTGCTCTCAGATTTCTTGGCAAGCGTTTTAAAATGATTTTCCCTAAACTATAATTTATGTTCAACTTACATATGACTCATTGTTTGAATCTTTTTTTTTCACTTTGCATAATGAGAGGCTTTCTATATTTATTGATGCCCTCAGCTCGTTTCAGGTAGAATTTGAACCAGTGATATTGTCTTGTATTTTCATGGTTTGAAATATGCCTCCCCTCTCTGTGCCTGTTTCCTCATCTGCTTCCAAAAGCTGTTTTAGGGACTAGATGAGATAAGCCCATGGGACATGTGCAATAAATACATCATTGTAGTCTATTTAAGAGAAGAGAGGCCTTATTCAAAATTGCTGAATCAGACATCATCTCACACTATGCCTGGCACACAATAAACAATCCGTCAGCACTGGTTGAATGAGTAAGTGAATGCATGTGAGAGAGAAGGGGTCCAAAACAGGATATCCACAGTAGGCATGAAGGCCAAAAGATATAAGCCATTTCACAGGAAGAATCAACAGTAATTCGTGATGGGTTAGGTATACAAAGTAACTAAGGTAAGTCAAGAATGATTTTAAAGCTTCAAGCTTTGATGACCTATGGAAGTCATTAACCAGGGAAAACATAACTAGATTTTGGAGGAAAGATGAGTTAGCCTTTGGATGTATTGAACTAGAAGTGCTTACAGTTTACATGCCTAGAGATTTCCAGTGAATAACTCATCAATGAGCTGAGTGGGGAGGCAGGAAGCTATGGCCAGTGGAAGAGGAAGAAATAAAGGGATGGAGTTAAGAGAGCTGTAAGCCTTATGTGCACATAGGGCAGTTGACATCATAGAAGTGGATGGCATTACCCTAGAAATACAGCATACAGAATAACTGGCATGATTACAGCTCAAATTACAGAAAGTAATTTTTACTCCAAGCACTGACACTGTGGACTTTTTTGAGATTTAACATTTTAGTCATCTAAATGGAATATCACACAGCTGTCCTCCCCATCTGTTGGCAGCAGCTCATCTGTTGGTGTATGTTAGTAAGCTTGAATCTAATCCATACAGTAAAGAGAAAATGAGAGTTAAAAACCAACACTTGAAAATCCTATCTGTAAGTTTAATAATGCATCTCTTAAATACTATAAAGTTTATCATTAAAGACCTCTGCTCCAAGTGTCTAAACTGAGCAGCGGGGTGAGTGGCTCACAACTGTAATCCCAGCACTTTGGGAGGCCGAGGCAGGTGGATCACTTGAGGTCAGGGGTTCAAGACCAGCCTAGTCAACATGGTGAAACCCGGTCTGTACTAAAAATACAAAAACTTAGCCAGGTATGGTGGCACATGCCTGTTATCCAAGCTACTTGGGAGGCTGAGGCAGGAGAACCACTTGAACCCAGAAGGCAGAGGTTGCGGTGAGCTGAGATCATGCCACTGTACTCCAGCCTGAGTGACAGAGTGAGACTCTGTCTCAAAAAAAAAAAAAAAAAAAAAAAAAAAAGTCTATACTGGCACAGCTCTATATGATAAGCACTTGAAATATATCCCCTCGTATGCCCAAGGGATTGGTTCCAGGACATCCATGTATACCCAAAGCCGTGTATACTCAAGTCCTCTAGTCAGCCCTGCAGAACCCCAGGATACAAAAAGTCAGCCCTCCTTTATATTCGGATTCCATATCCTGCAAAAATTGATTGTATTTTCTATTGGCATTTGGTTGAAATTACATGTAAGTGGACCTGCGCAGTTCAAATCCATGTTGTTCAAGAGTCAACTGTATATGTGAGAATATATATATATATATAAATTTAGAGAGAGGAATTTATGTATATAATATATGGAGAATATAAAATACATAGGAATTGTTAAGAGGAATTTCTTAAAAAACAAAAAATCAGTGATACATAAGCTAAAGTAATAGGAGTTAGAGCAGTGTTACAAAGTTTCTAAACAGGAGCCAGCAACTTTCTTCTCCAGAGGCTACAATGATAGCAGTGATGGGAAAGGATGCAAGGTGCAAATAGTAGTACTAAATAGGACAGAAGAAAAAATATTTACTTTCAAATAAATTTGTCTTCAAGATGTTGTTTCTTCACCTCCTCAGGCTTTCCACTTTTCACATTGAAAAAGAGGCCATCCCCTTCCTCAGCTTCAGGACCTCTGAGAAACTATGACTTAAGACAACCTCAACTGAGTGGTTCATATAGTTCACAAAGTGTCTAGTTTGCCATAGTGCACCAAAAGCATATGAATGAGACAGCAGTGGAAAATATGTTAACAGCTGCAGCACTAGAGAGCTAAAGTAGATACTGCAGAGAATGTTGCACTGTATTTGGACTTGAGAGAGCTAGCTCTAGCTCAGCCCTTTTGATAATGGCCTTAGAAAGTCAATCTCCAAGAGTTTCCATTTTCTTATCCCCTAAAACAATATCTACCTCACCAGGGCCACTGTAAGGAAAAAATAAGTTTACATATATGGGCCAGGCCTGGTGGCTCATGCTTATAATCCCAGCAATTTGCGAGGCTGAAGCTGGTGGATCACTTGAGCCCAGGAATACAAGACCAGCCTGGGCAACATGGTGAAACCTCGTCTCTAAAAAACCCCCAAACAGCTGGGTGTGGTAGCTCATGCCTGTAACCCTAGCTCTTTGGGAGGCTGAGGCAGATGGATCACTTGAGGTCAGGAGTTCAAGACCAGCCTGGCCAACATGGTGAAACCCCGTCACTACTAAAAATACAAAAACTTAGCCGGGCATGGTGGCGCATGCCTGTAATCCCAGCTACTTGAGAGGCTGAGGGAGAATTGCACAAACCCAGGAGGCAGAGGGTGCAGTGAGCCGAGATCACACCACCGCACTCCAGCCTGGGTGACAGAGCGAGACTCTGTCTCAAAAAAACGAAAACAAAAAACTTCCCAAAAATTAACTAGGTGTGGTGGTGTGTACCTGAAATCCTAGCCACACAGGAGGCTGAGGCAGGAGGATCACTTGAGCCCAGGAGGTCAAGGCTGCAGTGAGCCATGATCACACCACTGCACTCCAGCCTGGGGGGACAGAGTGAGACCCTATCTCAAAAAACAAACAACAAAAAAGTTACATATATGGCAGTAAAGTATTAAGTGAAATGCAAAAATTAGTGTATTGTGGATAATACTTAGCCTTTTAAGTACTTAGGCTTTTTTTAAAAGTATTATCCCAGACTTGATAATTAAAACAAACCCTCAAACTATCCAAAGAAAGACAAGCAGGGTAGGTTCCCCTATAGCAACCTACCATTTTATCTCTTAGTTTAAAATTTTTAACAAAAAAGTGATATATACCTTTTAAGTTCTAAAGTTCAGAATGAAAAGCAAGTCTTCCTCCCCCAACAAGCCCCAAACCCTTTCCTTAAAGCTAACACCTTCAAATTTCTTGTACATCCTAGCAGAAAAAAGTTCAAGCAATCGGATATATGCTTTTACGATTTTTCACACAAATGAGATGTTATCGATTCTGTTCTACTATTTGTAGGGCAAATTCCTAGTAGCGGAATTTCTGGGTCAAAAGTGTGTGTGTGTGTGTGTGTGTGTGTGTGTGTGTGTGTGTGTGTGTGTTTTTACCTTAACAGTCATTACCAATTTACTCTCCAAAAATAGACTAATTTTATTCCAAACTACAGCATGAATGCCCATTTCCCCACATGCTTGCCAAAGTATGTGCCTTAAAACCTTAAATACGCTTACTGAAAATGTTTTCATGTATTAACTGCTTCTTCACATTCATTGCCCTTTTTTATTTATTGATTTCCTCCCACTGCAGGTGGCCATTTTGTCTTCTGATGCTGATATTTTCCTCCAATCAAAAGTCTTGTGGGAATAAATTATGTGTGTTTAATTTATCCTTAGGGCTTCTGGGTTTTGTGTCCCACTTAGAATGCTCTTCCATACCCCTACATTGGTGTTCCCTACCCTGACAAAAAATAATGCTATCATGAAGCCCCAAATGAGTAAGCCCTACCTTTTACATTCAAGCTTCCAGTCATCTTTTTGGTGACCCATTCTTTTTTTTTTCCTGTTTTTTTCCCCTTCATTTTAATCAACACTTTACAAAGTACAAAATATACTGCCTTTTTTGGGAAACATTAGGTACTTTTTTCTCTCCATCATACAGTTACATGAATCTCGAGGGCTTTGTGTTTCTTCAATAAGAACATAAGCATGAAGCCCCAGGAGGTTGGGATAGGATGGTCAGTTCTCCCCTTCACCTAGACCTCGGGACCCATGAAGCATCATTGCTATGGATGGTGACCTGTGCACGCCAAGTGAGGGCCAGAGGGGGCCGTGAGCAGGCAGGAAGTCCTCTGTATCCCCCTAAGATGGGGCTCTGGACCGGGCTCCTCAGAGCTCCACCATGCACCCACCATCCACTCATCCCCATCTCTCAAGATAAATTATTTTGGCATACAGCAAGATGAAGTCTTGGAATTGTTTTGCTGTTAGCACCCTAATGTTTTGGAGCCAACTCTGCTCAACTCTTCCTGGACCATCTTCTGAATGTAGGTAAACTGAGGCAGTGGACAAGAAAATGCACTGAGCTTGGCCTGTCTTGAAACCTGAATTTGACCTGCTTTTCACCCCACACCCCATACCAGAGTTGGGGTCTCCAACTTTGTTGGATGTCCTTCCAGGATGACCCCCCAATAGGTGTGGGGTTGGTGCTCCATTCTTAAACAGTCAGCCAATTATCACAAGATTCTGAGCAAATAAAACAATGCAGTTAAGTGAATTGAATAGAAAAAGTGTAGTAAATAGACTACTTAGGGCAAAAAAAACCTTTTAAAAAACTATCCTTAGAGTAATGAGAAAATAACACAATCATGAAACAAGAACAGCATACACAGTTGGCCCTCCATAGCCACAGGTCCCACATCCACAGATTGGAAATATTCAGGGAAACAAAGGATGCTTGCTTCTGTACTGAACATGTACAAACCATTTTTTCTTGTCATTATTCCCTAAACAATCCAGTATAACAACTATTTACATAGCATCTACACAGCATATTATAATCTAGAGATGATCTAAAGTATACAGGAGGATGTGTGGAGGTTATTGGCAAACACTACTCCCTTTTGTATCAGGGACTTGAGCATTTGCAGATTTTAGTATCTGTAGGGGTCCTGGAAACAATCCCCCATGGATGCTGAGGGACAACTGTATGTAATGAACATTCAGATAACAGGTCTACTTAGAAATTTTGAATGTTAATGAAAATTTAAAACTTCATAAAAAGGTAGGAAGATAAAGTCAAAGAAATCTCCCAATAAAAATCAGAAACAAGAGAAAAGATAAGGAAGTTATAGAAGTGATCCAAAAATCTAGTTTTTGAATAGTAACACTTTCAGACAGAGAGGAGGAAAAGTGTGATAAAAATCAAATGAATAATTAAAGAGACTTGCTCTCAGTGGGTGAAATGGACACACCTGAGGTGTCTGAATATTTGAATGTCGTTCATCTTTGTAGTCCCAGAGTCAGATACAAATCAGATAACCCAAATATTTGAAAGACTAATCATTACCAAAGTTTAGGGTCTTTGAAATAAAATGAATAAAGGAGTAATGCTTGAGAAACAGAATTACTGAGGCTAAGTCCTCTTGGTATTAATAATGAATACAATCATTTTATAATCTAGCATTCAATATCTTGCACTGGTAGCAAATGAGCTGTACCTGTAAACTGTCGAAATGAGAACAAAACTACTGTGGCCTAATCACGAAAGTGGTCAGTAAGAACACCCCTGATATAGAGTAGCAAGTAGAGAAACCAGAGAGCTAAATTTCTCATCAAAATTATTTAAAGTATTTGGCAGAGGAGGAGATAAGTCATACAAAAAAACATTTTATTTTGAGACAGGGTCTCATTCTGCCACTCAGGCTGGCGTGCAATGGCACAATTACAGCTCACTGCAGCCTCAACGCCCAGGCTCAGGTGATTCTCCCACCTGAGTCTCCTGAGTAGCTGGGACTACAGGGGCACGACACCACACCTAGCTTATTTCTTATATCTTTTTGTAGAGACAGGGCTTCACCATGTTGCCCAGGCTGGTCTAACTCCTGCACTCAAGCGATCCACCCACCTCAGCCTCCCAAAGTGCTGTGATTACAAGCGTAAGCCACTGTACCTAGCAATATGGAAACACTGTATATGCTAACAATTATTTCACCTTTAAAATACATAAAATAACATCCTAGTTATCATAAGGCTCACAATAGAACACTGATCATTAAAGCTAAAGAGTTTAACTGTGCAAACAGGAAAGATTAAGAGTATAAAAACACAGTATGTGATGTCATAGGATTGTAAAAATAAAGCTATTATGGAATTGAGAAAGGTAAACAGAAAAATGGGATGGTTGACAGATAACTAGTACAGGAAACAAGTGAGCAAACCTCTTAAAAAAATCCTGCTTTAAATGCCTGCATTTACTCAAATCATTTTAGAGGAGATAAAAGTCAGTGGCTCACAACTTTGGGCGTAGGGAGGAGAGACATCACTTAATAAAAGACTAAAAAACTTAAAAAACTCCGAGGAGAATCTAGTAAACAGGAAACTTCTTTTACCTCCCTCATCTCTGCTTTTAGTAAAACAACTAAGTATTTGTATATTCAGATAATTATATGGAATAATTATATGGAATGTCTCTCCATGTAAGCCATATCTACAATAAGATCTTCCCAGCAAAACATAAGTTCTTTCCACAAGGTCCATAAATGGACTTTAGATATCTCTGGATCCCTACTCTATCTCTTACAAATGTATGTAAATTCTGTGTATGTGCACATCTTTCCGTAAAGACATCTGCTTTTAGTAATAGCTTCCAGAACTAGCTTCAAAGTTATACTGCTTCAGAATGAAATATCTTGTCCATTCATTCTTATAAGTCAAAAAATGTCTAGTTCATTATCTTTATACTTAGCAAAGTAACATTTCAAATACTCTCCTAAAATATGACTCTTACCATAAGGGGATACCCTAATTAATGACTCTCTTGATGTTGGACACTTATCTTTAAAAAAATATAGAGTTGCCCAGAGTATTTTAAATAAACATTGTGTGTGTAAGAAAAAAACTACGCTGAATACTTTAATGCAGTACGAAATTCACAGCTAGAGAAAGGCCCTACTGATCACCAATTGTTCTTAAACATCAAGTTTTCCCCTCCATCATTTAATCATATTACCACTTTTCTATGTGCTTTTTAGTTGTGTTATGGACATAAAAGCCATGAACTAATTTTTTTAACTGGAATACTATTATCCCTACCCTACAAAATTCCTACCATAAGCTGAAAAAGTTATGTGAGGTACTGAATCAAATCACATATTCTATCTTGAGAACACTACACTAGCATTTAACACCATGGAGAGTTAAACATGGCTTCAGGGTGTAATTGCTGAACCCACACCCAGCTCAAAAATAGCAACTGTAATAAACGTAATGCTGTTATACCGTTTTCCTGAGATTACTCAACACCTCAGAGAGGAGGATCAAAACAATTATTGTAGGAGTTCAGACAGGGCGGTGGGAGAAATTATAAGAGGAAATTATAGAAAGAAGCAAACCTTCTTGGAAGGCCAGGAGGTTCTGCAAAAGCTTCAAAAGACAATTTGGCTGAAGGCAGCTGAATTCTCTTAAAAGCTTAGGTTAGATAACAAGGGGATGTAAAGGAATTGATCTAGGTAAGTTAGTTTACTCAGGCTTCGGAACCTGGAACCTGGCCTTTAATCATTCGTGCACAGGACTGCTCTCTTGGTGGGTGGGGGAGGGGAGCGGGCATGTTAATTACCCACACGTGTGTTGACTCAAAGCTTTTGTCATTAAATCTGTACTAAATAAATACAAATATTGCTGGCTTATTGGGGCTTCACTCTCGCTGTACTCTCTCGTCAGCGGTGCTGAGCAGTGAAGTCCCCTCATCACTCTGTCAGGCAAAATACCTGTGTCAGGGTACATTTTTTCATCCATAGTTCAGCCAGGGTCTGTGGGTCAGACCCGGCAAATTATTTTCTGCCTCAGCAGATTACTTGCTTTAGTTGATGTGTAATAACGCCCTTCTGCAACCCTTAATATAGTCCCGAAAATGCAACCAAAATGCTCACTTTTTAAAATTCTTTTTTTTTTTTTGAGACAGTGTCTCTTTCAGTCACCCAGGCTGGAGTGCAGTGGCATGATCTCGGCTCACTGCAACCTCTGCCTCCCAGGCTCAAGCCATTCTCCTGCCTCAACCTCCCAAGTAGCTGGGATTACAGGCACCCACCACTACGCCTGGCTAATTTTTGTATTTTTAGTAGAGACAGGGTTTCACCATGTTGGCCAGGCTGGTCTCGAACTCCTGACCTCTGGTGATCTGCCCACCTCAGCCTCCCAAAGTGCTGGGATTACAGGCGTGAGATACTGCACCAGGCCAAAAATTATTATTTAAACTGAGAAATAAAAAACCTTATTACTGAAGACATACAAGCTTTAAGTGTGAGAAAGTATCATATGGCTAGAACGAACACTAAATTTTACTGCATTTCTTAAACGTGTATGTGCCAGGCACTACGTTCAATCCTTTAGATATATTCTTAAACTTCACAATTGTCCTGATGGTAATCTATCATCCATTCACATTTTACATTTGAGAAACAGTATTTAAGAGAGAGAGATCTTAGAGGTAACATAACTTCTCTAAGATTAGCTACTAAGTGGCAGAATCAGGACTCTGAAACACAGCATTGCCTGACCACAGAGCCTCTGCTTTTCAATGTCTTAGCATTTTGCCTGCTCAAATTAAATTGAGAATCCACTAGAAAGTGTAAGTCTTATTGATGGTGGGCCAGTAGTATTACCTGTGTATCTCCTATTGTATATTACTACACATGTAGTAGCTACCCAAAGATAGCTGACTAAAGGAAGCCCATGCCCTACTGCAAAACAGAATAGCTTCAAGAAGAATGCATGATTTGGCCCATGGAAAACAGATCAAATGTTTTGATGAATGGCATGTATAATATCAGAGAAAAGTAACCCTAGAAGGAACTGTTATATATATATGTCTTATTTTAAAATAACAGCATGAGCCCATGAAGAAATAACCATTCAAGAGTTATCAGTGATGACTATTAAAAAGCAGATATTTTACCTCTCAACTAAATGTTTAATTAAATAGGAACACTGAAGGTGCATGTAACTTTTTTATTGAGGCACAACAAGGCATTGTAACTTGCCTGGACTTGAGGCAGTCAGTTTAGTAAGCTGAACGTTAATACAGTTAAGGATTAAGTGCAAACAATATACATTCACAGCTTGACTAGCGAGGCTACATCACAATTTATAAAGTGCCAGATTAGTGCTAATTGTCATTCAGCTTGATTTTTCACCTCAGGAAGGAAAACAAAAAAGTAAGGACCTCCTCCCTCTAGGAACAAAAACATTTTCCTAAACCAATCAGTCATGAGGGCAAAGACTACTTTTCCTTCAATCCCACTAATTAGAACACCATCCTTTTATTGTCAATACTGTACTGACTTTCAATCTTGATAAAGAAGATAGCCTGAAAACGTAGAATATTTCCAGCTACTTCCATAAATTGCTCCCCTGTGCAGACGTAACCATATCTGGTCTCCCTGGAAGAGCTGAAGAATTGCATGATTGCTAGCAGTTTCATGGTCTGGAGCACCATCATTGGCATAGGCTGATACCAAGACCTCTTCATTCTTCATGAGGTTGACATACAGTGGCACATTCACTGCCAGCTTTAGCATGTGAAAAATGAAAACGTAAGTGCCATTCACTGGGCAATTAAATCTACCAAGCTGAAGATCAAAAGTTTCTCCTAAGTTGTTCAGAAGAAGATCAAACACAATAGGTTGGTCTAAAGTTCCAGGGGCCAGATTAGAGGTTCTGGCTGCTGAGAAGGCAACTCGCATCTGCTGAGGCAGAGGGTAGACGTGTACTGGCAGTATGGTGGCTGCTGGATTTGTCACTGGCACATCCACAGGGGTCATGCTACGGGAGTCTCCTTGTCCAGAGTCACCACTGTTAAAGGTTTCGTTGTCTCTTTCTGGGCTGCTCACCTGAGAAGAATCACTCCACCCTGCTGTTTTATTAGCAACAGTGAGTTTCTCATAATGAAGCAGTTAGCTTTGAACACAATATTTAACATTAGTCGGCTACTGAAACAGACAAAGATACATTTTATAGTAAATTCCAAAACAAAAGCAATATATAGCTAGATTATACTTTTCTAGATTTTTCTGGTAATAGGTTTTTACATACTCTTCTAAAGCCAGAAAGGTCCAAGATAATCTTGTCTAACTGATCCTTTTTTAAGATTAAGAAAATGTGGCCCCCAAAAGGCCAGATAACTTAGCAAAGTCTAAAACTCAGGTCTGAACACTTTTTACTTCATCTTCCTCCCATAATTCTTAATTTCTCAGAGGTCATTCTACAAAGCACCTAATGTAGAAGGTCTCAAGAAAATGGAGACTACATAAAAGAACCAATTTTTAGAACTACTAGCCACTAGCCATTCAGAGATATATTGATATGGAACTAAGTCCCATGATGATGAATGCTTTTTTTATTTCCAAGTCATACACTTGTAATGTTTTAAGTGCCATACAAAAACACTGCTCACACTAAGGCAAAGGCAAATTGAATACTAGCTATTTTTTCAGAAGGAAAAGATTGCTTTCCTGTGCCAAAGTTACTCTTCAGTGATTTTTCTTCTCCCTTATACAAACTTTTAATAGTTCCTTCACATTTTAAAAAGTGTTATAACTATTCTGCTATTGTCTCAAGTCACGGTGTCTTAATTTGTGCTTATTTGAATCTATTAATGCAGTGACACTACAGTAAGAAGTACCCATTATTACAAAAACCACCATCGTGAATCATCACATGAAAAATATTCGAAATCAGCATAGTGAATATATAAAGTTAAATATGCTCTAGTGTCAAGCAGATTTTTAAAAAACACCCACCCTTTTAATTCAATTTGCAATTGGTTTCCATAGCCTATCTAGTGGTCTAGTATCTCCCTTAGTACTTTAGTACTACATTCAAGCAAATTGAAAACCTCAACAAGATAAATGCTAAAAAGCAATGTGCTTTGGAAAGAACTTGGTAGAGGATGCAGAAAGAACTAGAGACATGTGCTGGGTAAGAAAACTATTCAGCTAATTACCCTTACCTCTCGAATTTGCTCGTGGACCACCAGATGTCCCTCCTCGCTTATAACACTGCTGGAAATTATCCTAAAGTGAACATATAATATTTACCTTGGCATCAAAAATGCAGGACTATAATTGGTTATTACACAGGACTACCGGCTGGCAAATAAGATTAGTCCCCTTAGTTCTTTACCTGGCCTTCCCCAGCAACCAAAGAGGCTCAGATGTTTCCAAACACTAAGAAAAACAAAGCAAGGGCAACAGTGGCATTACTTGCTTCACCTGTTAATTAACCTGACCAATCAGATCTGTTAATACCTGAAAAACAACAAAGCACTTGGAGAATACTATGTAAAAGATACAATGCTAGGTAATGAGAGAAATTTTTAAATGTGGCATGGTCCTCTGTCCCTCATCTCAGTATAAAAGGACATCATAAAGCAAAAACACAGACTTTTCTCAACCTTGCTCTATTTATACACCAAACTGGGAAGACCAATACCAACTGTGTTGGGGTTTGGGAATTTTTTTTTAAGAAATTGATAAAAAATTATATTGTATAAATATATTTATTGCCTAGAAATATAATCTAATATATTAAGAAAAAATGTTCCAGGGGCAGTACTTCAAACAAACTCAAGTATGAAGGAAGCCAAACTTCATACAACCCATGAAAAGAATAATTAGTGGTGTAATTATTATATGCAATAAAAATTGAAACAGGACAAGAAGGTACACAATAAAAATAATAAAGCCTCTTACTCCATACTCCCAGTTGCCCCTTTGCAATAGCAACTAGCATTATCAGTTTCTTGTTCCTCAGGAAAAATGTAAAAGAGCACACAAAATACTGTAATAGTGGTATTAAGAAGAGACAGTTCTTTTACCTAAGTCTGTATTAATAAACATCCTCCCCTCACATACATTCCCTGAGGATCACATAATAACATCTAATATTTGCACGGCTGATATACACACCTGGCTCTGTAGTGCTAAGCACTTAGGTGCTTTAGTTCATTTAATTCTCAGAATATCTCATGGAGAATACCTCAGTGTTAGATGAAAAACTAACAGATGAGGAATTAGAGCTCAAAAAGTTTCACTAACTTATCTGAGGTCACATGGCAAGAGAAGTGATAAATGAGGGGTCAAACCCAAGGCATTTAGATTCCAAGATGTTTTCCACTCTTTTTTTTTTTTTTTTTTTTTTTTTGAGACAGAGTCTCGCTCTTCTTGCCCAGGGTGGAGTGCAATGGCGCTATCTCTGCTCACTGCAACCTCCACTTGCCAGGTTCAAGCGATTCTCCTGCCTCAGCCTCCTGAGTAGCTGGGATTAAGGCGTGTGCCACCACGTCCGGCTAATTTTGATTTTTAGTAGAGATGGGGTTTCACCCTGTTGGTGGTCAGGCTGGTCTCGAACTCCTGACCTCAAGTGATCCACCTGCCTCAGCCTCCCAAAGTGCTGGGATTACAGGCGTGAGTCACCACGCCTGGCCTTCACCCTTTTCAATACTGCCTCTGTGTGGATATCCATCCTACCCTATGTAACTGTAAGTTCTTCAAGGATAGGTATTTTATATATTACCAACAGAACTCAGTATGGTACCATACACATACTCAAAAGCTTGTAAAACTTCAAAACTGAATATGCTGATGTATTATAGATTCAAATCCGTAAGTTCCCAAGTTTTGTTAAAGTGGAATTTCTAACATCCTCTTATGAGTCTTTTACCATATGTAGTAAAGAAAATATGCTGGGTTCTTCAAGTAAGTATAAACAACAACAAAAAACTTAACGAAAAAGGGCTTTGCTACATTTGCTATTTAGGCAAGTTAAGCTGAAGGCAATGTAGTAAAGTTAAAATCATGGGCTCTGGAGTAAGAAAGTCACATTCTAATCTTAGTTTACCATTTCCTTGATAAGTGACGTTAGGTAAGTTATTTAACCTCTGAACCCATTTCTCCTGTGAGGTGGAAGAGCAAATGAGTTAATGCAAACAACATGATTAATAATGTCCTTAACACCTTCTAAGTTCCACATAACAAGCAATTATCATTTATCTTTCTTGGGTAATTGCAAAAACTTCCAACTCAACTCTTCTCCATAGGACTTACAAGTAGTTTTAAAACTAAGAGTGCACTTTCAGAAAACAAATTATGACTCTGCGATATACTTCAATCACCAGCTTAACATCAACAACTGTACCACTATTCAACTATGACAACTATTCTTACTTACCCTTTGGGAATAAGGTGCTCCAGAATACTCTCTAGCTTGGAACTGCAGCTGGCTATAATTTCCATTGGAAATTGAAGGGAGTCCTCTATAAGTATCAAAACCTAATAAATAAACAAACTTACATAAGATTATGGACAAAATCATATTAAACTTTTAAACAGTCTAATTCTATATTGCTTTAAAAGTTAAATTGATTATATAATGCCATCATTAGACTTATGCCCTCTTTAAGCAAACTCTACTAATATTGCTTCCAAAGTAAAACATATTTATAGAACATTGCTGTCTTCAAATAAGCCAGGTTTATAAATTTACTACTGCTAAATGCAAGGTGGGGTTGGGAAAGGGTGGTGGTAGGGCAGTTAGGTACTTAGGGCCTCTGTCTAGGGTTGTTTTGTTGTTGTTTGCTTTTTTATAGGCAGTGCCTCGCTCTGTTACTCAGGCTGGAGCACAGTAGTGAGATCACAGCTCACTGTAACCTCAAACTGTTGGACTCAAGCATTCTTCCCAGTTCAGCCTCCCAAGTAGCTGGGACTACAGGTGCATATCACCATGCCCAGCTAATATTTTTTAATTCTTTGTAGAGGTAGGGTCTCACTATGTTGCCCAGGCTGGTCACAAACTCCTGGCCTCAATGATCCTCCTATTTTGGCATCCCAAAGTAATGGGATGACAGGCGTCAGCCACCACACCCAGCCTGTCTAGAGTATTTTTGTTAATAATAAGTAGTGACTAGGACACTTGGAACCATAACAACAGTTTAAGAGAATATCACTATTATAGTCTCAAATTCTATATTCTTCTTTGTGACATAATCTAACAAATAACTAGAAATAATTAGAAAATGGGCATCTTGTAAATATGATACACTTTTAGCAGAGTTAAGTCAACAAAAGAAAAACATTACTCAAATATGAAAATTCATCCTTTGTAAAACAATATGGTGAAACTTTCCACTTCAGTAAGTCACAAAATCAATCTGCTTTTCATACAGAAAATTAGTTCCTCTGTTATGGAGAATAGGTATATTAAAAATACTTTATTATCCACAAACAGGAAATTCTCTACTACGTTGCAAATGACAAAAGGGAGCAAGGTTAGGTAAAAATGGTGTGAGTCAAGTAAACACACAGACAAAATAATTCAGTATAATTCAATTTTATTCAGGGCATACCTTTATAACCACCAGGGGACCGATAGGAATTGGTTATTAATCTCCCACCACGAGTACATCCTCTAACAGATCCCCGGCTATTGACAAATGGCTGAGTAGGTCTGGGAAACACATTCGTCTGTGCTGGGTAAAAGGCAAGGCTACCATTGCTTACTTGAATAGTTCCATCAGGATGATAATTTGCTGCTTAAGAAAAACGATTTTAGGGTCCAAGAGTTAAATGGTAATAGTCTTTATACTTAAAAGCCAATATATATCAAAATCATTAATACAATTTGCTGCCTTTAAAAATAAATAGGAGATACATATATTCATGTATATAATTCATCTACATGACTCAAATACGTAATTCATATATATAATGGAATATTATTCAGCCTAAAAAAGGAAGAAAATTTTGACCCATGCTACAACATGAATGAACCCTTAAGACATGCCAAGTAAAATAAGCTAGTTTCAAAAGCACAAATATTGTATACCACTTATATGAGGTACCTAGAGCAGTCATTTTCAGAATCAGAAAGTAGAATGGTGGTTGCCAGGGGCTGGGGGGAGAGGAGGAGGAGGAGTTAGTATTAAATGATTACAAAGTTTCAGTTGGGGGGAGATGAAAAGTTCTGGAGGTGGACAGTGGTAATAATTACACAACAGTTTGGTTGTACTTAATGCCACAGAACTATATAGTTAAAAATGATTAAAATGGTAATTTTTATGTTATGTATACTTTACGACAATTTTTAAAAAGCAGGCTAAATACTCCAGATGAGGGAGTAAAAGAAAATGGATTCTAATTAATATCTGAGAAGGCACCTGACAAAAATATCCCTTACGTAAGTCACCTGCCCTGTCTTTCAACAGTAGAGGGGAGAACAGAATCAGGTCATCTATGCCTAGGTCCCAGAATTCATATTACTACCTCTTCATCACTTGATTAGCCAAGTACTCAGAATGCTCAATTCATTTGCTCCGACTTCAGTTAAAAAACTCAATAGGGATCTGAAATACCAATACAAAAAATCTACAAGTGCTTCTTAAATTTAAATTAAGAAATGAGTACAAAGTTACCTATTCTTTCATGATTTAGAACAGCATGAAAAATCAAAATAGCCTCCCATCTCTAAGCAAACAGTACAATGAGCATACTAAGTCATATCTTCAATCTTTTATTATAAGATAGAAAAGGACAGATAACCATTTGTTAAAAGGATTAACAGAATGGTTTCAAAACCTTCATATAAGCAGCCAGATAGTGCCCATCTACCTCAATCACTGTCTGTGGTAATCAAAGCAAATAGATTTAAAAATACAAACCTACTTCAAGGTTAAATCCGTCATCTAAGTTCTATCTCTACAAAAATTAAAATTAATAGGTAAACTTAACACAAAAAAGGGCATTAGGTTTTTCTCAACACTGGAGGAACATGTAAAGAAATAATGCTTACTGGTCAGGAAAATACTTCTAAAGTGTCACTACAGACTTCCTAGACTTGCTGTCCATTCAATTGGCTGTCCCTCTAAGTCTTCCAAATATCATATGCAAAGATCTTACCAGTCTCTTGAGAATGGACAGTTTGTTCTACATGTATAGATGGCAGTTGGCACTGGGGTGGTGTTTGTGTACTTGCTGTGGTAAAACTTTGATTGTAGCCAGGTGAATAAGGGGATTCTTTTATTTCTTGTTCTTTTCGTGGAGGCAGAGGTGCATTAACGTTAAATACCTTAAAAGACAAGGACACACTGAGTCATTTGGGAAGTTTCAAAGAAAATGCTTAAGGGTGGTATCCAGCAAAATTGTACATTCAAAAACTTCTATTTTGCAGGCAAAGGACTTGAATAGACATCTCTCCAAAGAAGATAAATGGCAAATAAGCACATGAAAACATGCTCATCATCATTAGTCATTAGGGAAATGTAAATCCAAACCATAATGCCATAAAATTTTATACCCATTAGCAGGGCTATTATCAAAAAGACAGAAAATAAGTGTTGGCAAGGATGCGGAGGAACTGGAACCCTCATGCATTGCCGGTGGGAATGCAAAATGGTGCAGTCGCCCTGTGGAAAACAGTATGCTGCCTTTTCAAAAAGTATAGAATTAACATATGATCCACTAATTCCATTTCTAGGTATATACCCAAAATAACTGAAAGCAGGACTCAAACAGATATTTACACACCCATGTTCATAGCAGCATTATTCAGAATAGCCAAAAGGTACAAACAACTCAATTTCCCAACAGATGAATGGATAAGCGAAATGAAGTACATACATAAAATGGATTATTCAGCCATACAAAAATGAAATCCTGATACACTGTATAACGCAAATGAACTTTGAAAACATTATGCAAAGTGCAGTAAGCCAGATACAAAAGGAAAAATGTTGTAGGATACCACTAATATGAGGTAGAATAGGTAAATTCATAGAAGCGAAGTAGAATAGAGGTTAGCAGAGCTGTGGAGGGGGTTACAAACAGGAAGTTATTGTTTAATGAGTACTGAGTTTCTGTTTGGAATAATGACAAAGTTCTGAAAGTAGTGATGATGATTGCACATTATGAATATACTTAATGCCACTGAATTGTATACTTTAAAAAGATTAAAATGGTAAATTCTGTTACATACATTTTACCATAGTAAAAAAAAAACAAAAAAACACTCCTACTTGATTCCTGACAGATTTTACACCTAACAGCAAAAGTTAATCTTCCTGCTATTATGCTATCATAATAATGCTGAGAATAAAAGCTATACAAGGGTAAGGGGTCTTTTTTTCAAAAACTAAAGATGAATGAAATATTTTACCATTTAATGAATCTTTACCACGTGGCAAGCAACGATCTGTCCTTCTATGACTCTCTAGCTCCCTGATTCTGCTCCATTTTTCTTTACATCACACAGCACCTGATATACAGGTATTTGTCTCCCTAGCCCTCCTACCTCCATACTAAAATGTTAAGTTTCCTGAGCATACTTTCCTTTTTTCACTGCTACAACCTCAGTGATTAAGAACAGTGCCTGGTTTTGTAACTATTCTTTAATCAATAAATGAGTAAGAACCAATGTGTACCGGGTAGGATTCAAACAGGCAGAGAAAACAGATTGGCATGAGCAAAAGGTACTGTGACAAGAATATATAAGGCAAGCTCAGGGGACTAGTGTGACAGGTTATAACAGACTTGAAAAGGTACTGAGTGTCAGAGTACTAAATTTCATTCTGTAATGGAACACTGCTTGCTTTTAATTAGACAAAAGAAAAGGTAAAACCAATGTGGCTATACTGTGCAGGATGAACTGACAGGAAAAGAGTGAAAGCAAGGAACTATTCTATCTAGAAATAAGATATTCTAAGTGATCAGGTGAGTGAATTCAGCTGTCTGGACTCACCAGCCGATCTCCCGGGGTGGTGCCTGCTTTCCATGCTACTCCACTGGCCCCACTACCACCATCACTCCGAAGTGCTTGGAGTGGGACACTAAGCACCAATAGGAAGGGTACTTATTGGCTCACTAAGGCTTTTTTCCCCCACAAAGAACTGTTTTATACTAGTCTGTGTTTAGAGAATAAACATACCAAACTAGCTGTAATATTATTTTTTTAAAAAGCCTTAATTGCAATTTGTAGAAAAATACGTAATTCAAAACACCACACAAATCTGAACAAATCTCCAAAAACCATCTTGAGATCAGGATAAAATAAAATGAAAGTTTCAGCAATGACAGAACACCCAAGTATGTGTCCGGTATTTCAGGTTACTGATGTTAGGGAATAATACTAGTAAAGATATTAGTAATGGTTAGTATTATTAAGCTGTTGCTAGAAATTCTGTTTCTCACCCACACATTTTGTTTGTTTAATATGGATCCTCAGCTTTGCCTGCTACTAATTCTAAAAGAAGGAATAATGCTCTGATAAAACACCCATTTAAAATTCTAGAGGCTGTGGATTTCCTATTCTTCTGCCACAAACAAGTACTGCCATTGGCCAAATATAATTCTACCAACCCAAATAAATTTTACAAAAGGCAAACTTTTCACATAGTATCCAATAATTATGTAAGAGAAACAATGGCTTTTAACAGGAATAATGAACTGCAATCATCATTCATGTTTCATACTCACTGTCTGCATGGCTTGAAAGGGTGCTGTGTTAATGGTTACTGAACTACTACTTGCTGGAGGTGACTGGAAGCCCTGTTCAGAGCCCTTTGCCATGGGAGGATTTGGAGAAGCTAGTGAAGACGGTTGCTTGCCTGGGGGAATTGCTGCCTGGGGAGGAGAAATGCAGCATCAGCCAATCACCTGCCATATAACAAGCAGTTAACTTACTCTAAAACCCAAACTGGCATAAGTCAGCAAGTTCTTTAGGATGACATTTGGACACAGGAATGCAAAAGAATAGCTTTTGCTTACAATTTCAAATCTCAATTGCTGAGGATGCATACCAGTATTTGCTTTGCACAGCTTGCTGACTAAGTGAAAGAGTCTTACCAATAATCAGTCTAACAGATGAGGGGCTGAACTTTTTATACGCACCTAGTCCTTTTCAAACCCTGAAATGGTAATTTCCAGTTAAGAACCTAATATTATTCAAAATTTATACATCAGAATTGGATTTAAGAAAAAACTTGGATTAGTTGTTTAGTGTTAATTTTTCTCTATTTTAAAGACTTATTAGTTAGTAGGTTTCTAAGTCAGCTACCTAAAACAGAAAACAACTCCGATCCAATTTAAGTAATCCTTACCTAAGGAAGCCACAAGTTCTTGACATAACAGATTATAAATCCAAAGGCTTAAAAAAAATACCAAAAACCAATCTCAACTAGATTGTGAAGCAGACAGCTGTGAGTTACTTGGTAACAATCACTTCTTCCTCTTCTTAAAATGAGGAATGAGATAATTTAAATTCAGATCAAGCCAGCACCATAAAAACTAAGGATTATCTATATTTTCTTATATTCTATAATGAATACATATTCTTCTATAACAGTTAACAAAAAATACCTGATAGTTGCTAAATTACTCCTCAAAATTCATCCTACTATGTCCATCTCAAGGATTTACTCAAACTTAGTAAAAACTGTAACTTAGAATTGAAATTGAAAGCACAAACATAATACTGTTAAAATGTTTTTATTTATTTATTTTTTTTGAGATGAAGTATCACTTTGTCACCCAGGCTGAAGTGCAGTGGCACAATCTCTGCAACCCCCGCCTCCTGGGTTCAAGCAATTCTCTGTCCTCGGCCTCCTGAGTACCTGGGACTAGAGGCATGAGCCACCACACCCAGCTAATTTTTGTATTTTTAGTAGAGATGGGGCTTCACCATGTTGGCCAGGCTGGTCTTGAACTCCTGACCTCAAGTGATCCACCTGCCTCGGCCTCCCAAAGTGCTGGGATTGCAGGTGTGAGCCACTGCATCTGACCGAAAATATTTTTGACAAAGTTAGCCAAAACAAGATTGTAACTCATTCCAACTCAATAAGTGCTAATATTAATAAAATAAAGTTATTGAGCTTTCATTTATACAAATAAGAGACTTTTCTCCTAAAAGTCCTTCAGTGTAAATATAGTGGAAAACTTGACTTAATGCTACCTACACTTTTCATTTTTTTAGATTAAAAATGGACATTTATTGCACTAGATAAGGCAATACCATATTAAATCTATTTATATGGCAAAGCTACAATAAAGTTACCTGTAAAAGTTCCAAGATCACAATATCTATAGAAAGCAATACATTAATAAAGTATAAATGTTACATCATTCAACTAATCATGCCTGTAATTCATAAGATAAACTGGTTCTGCTATTCTTTAAGATACAAAAGAAATTAAGACAATTGGTCTTTTACCTCAGGAGTCTCTGAGGTCATAAACTCTGTTTCAGATCCAGAAGAAGCCTGATCGGTAGTAACCAAGCAAGCATTTGAGCTACAAGTAACTGGAGAAGAAGTAGCCTAGACACAGGAAAATACAAAATATTGTAAAAGGCACATTTTGTTCACTTTATATTTCTTGGGCCCTGGCCTTCCTAATATGTTACTCTTACTGAACACGCACATGTGTCAAGCACTCTGCTAAACACTTTATACGTGTTAATATATTTAATCCTAACAGTAATCTGTGAGGTAGGTACTATTCTCATTTTATTGACAATTAAGCAGTGGCAAAGAAAGGTTAAGACATTTGCCCAAGATCATACTACAATTAAGTGGCAGAGCTGAGATTCAAACTCAAGCAGCCAGCTAGCTACACTGCCTGTCCAGGCCTGGTCACCAAAACTACACATCTCATCCCATGTTCACTGATTCTTGGCCCTGTAGTAGATAGCATTCACGGGAAGGTGAGCTCCGGGTACGTTTAACACTGTAGGCACAGCTCTGCCAGAGATCATAGTATAACTGTGCTTTCATGCTAAGTGCTATCAGCATCCTAAAGAGGCAGGCTGAAATATAAATAGGAAGAATAAGCTCTACATAAATCAGAATGGCACCAAAAATTCTAGTGAAAAATCAAGCTGATAGCATATGTAAAATAAAAATTGGGAGAAAGCACATTAGGAAAAAAAGTTGTGACAACTGTAACCAACAGAAAATTAAAAGAGTGGCTAGGAAAGAATTCTATCGCACAACAGGTATTCAAATACAGCAGAGAGACACCCATAAAAATCTGGCAATAGCAAGATCTAAAGTGTCAGTGAATCCACTCCTTTTATCTAAATGCTTCTATGTGGTTCTCAGAAGCCCAAGTAATAAAATAGGTGAACTGGAAACTAATGAAGGGTTACAAAACAGAGAAATCATGTTTCAGTGACCTTCTTGAAGGAGGCATTATGATATGTTGCTTTTTAGGAAGGAGACTGGGGATTGAGTTTTAAGATCTTATGGAAAAAAATATTTGAAATCCTTTAGAACATTTTATATTACCCAAGTAAATAGGCATAACTTAGATCTGGCCAAAATATTAGAACCATTATAAGATTAGAGCGTTTCTAAAACTAGGTCGTTCTTCTGGCTCTGTCATTAAAGTAATGAGACAAGTGCCCAAGAAAAGTAGAACTGGCTGTTGTGGGGAAATAACTAACTCTGTTGCTAAGGGAAGATTCACAGATGCTAAATTAAGGCATCTTAGGCCACTTGATAGTTAATCTTAAAATGGCTTCAATTTCAGTTAAAAGGTTCATTTAATAACAAAGACATTTACATTAGTATTTAGTTAGAAGTGATGGCAGTTCCTGCTTCCAAATTAGTGCTTTTTAAGTAGACCAGTTGGAGGTGGGTTATTGGTGAATAAACATGATATTTGAAACCAATGTTCCAAAAAATGGGTATGAAGATTCATCCAGGAAGCTTTTAAAAATATAGGCAACACCCTAGAAAATTCTGCTCCAACAGGTCTAAGATCTTATCTAGAAATGTATACCTTATGACATATAAAGTGGGATGGCTTCGATGCAGCCATCCCACAGCCTCCACCAGAGAACTACTAAGCTAGACCAGTGCTTTTCAAAAAATTTACCTTGTCAATTGAAAGCCTTATGTAGAACCCTAAACAGCTAGAACAAAAAATGTAACTGCTTTAGTAAAAGCAGTCAGTGAATTGGAGGAAAGTAGGAAAAACCCCAATATACCCTGCTCAACAAATACAGTTTGAAAATTAAGGCTGAGTGCAGTGGCTCACACCTGTAATCCCAGCACTTTGGGAGGCCAAGGCAGGTGGATCACGAGGTCAGGAGCTCAAGACCAGCCTGGCCAAGATGGTGAAACCCTGTCTCTACTAAAAATACACAAAAATTAGGCAGGTGTGGTGGCAGGCCCTATAATCCCAGCTACTCGGGAGGCTGAGACACAGAACTGCTTGAACCCGTGAGGCAGACCAGACGCTGCAGTGAGCCGAGATCATGCTACTGCACTCCAGCCTGGGCGACAGAGTGAGACTCTGTCTCAATAAAACAACAACAACAAAAATTAATTTCTTTCTTCAGACACTTTACTATGTTAATAAACTAAATTACTTAAGTAGCTCAAGAGAACATAATATTCTTAGACAAGGTACCCTCTGATTTCTTCAGGCTTGGTCTCTCCTTACTAAAGTCAGCAAACCTGTACTATATGTTTTCAGCATAGTCATCGGGGAATCATTTTAGGACAAGTCGTATTTAATCTACAAAACTAGATATGCTTAGAACACTTTTAATAATTTCATTAGGTACATGAGAATCAGTAAGTCTGATTATTCTTTCCAAAGCAAGAGCTTCTTCCTTGAGCAGCAAAGAATAAAAGATTAATTTGGAAAGTTACCTGTAACGGCTCTTGAAGAAAATCACTTTGACTGGACAGATTTTGTTCTTTAGATGCTGCAAGGAGTAAAATAAACAGTAACTACTGAGGGAAGACAAAAGCTTACGCATATCAACTAGGAGGAAACTAAAGTTTACACTTCACAAAAAAGACATTAGCTGGAAGGACTACGTCTCAAGTTCATCATGCACTTTCTATTAGAGTTTTAACAAGAGAGAACTGTAGAAGAATAGAAAATACTAGTTCCATCGGTGACACAGAGTGATGCTTTAAGGTTAAATGGACAAAAGTAGCATTTCAAGACTTCCAAAAGAAAAGAACTAAGACATTTAAAAATAACTGATAATAGTGACCAGGAAGGTAAGACCCAGGCTACCATGTATAGTAATTAACTGATAAACTTAATTTTCACAAATTTCAAAGTCAATCTTATCTGGATCATCCATTCAGTTTTTTTCTGATTATATATATTAACATACTTTTCAATTATATAGTTTGTTTTGTTTCTTCTTGTTAATATCCATCACTTTTATTAATTACTCTCTATTTACTCTCACTTCACCCAGGAATTGCTACACCAATCTTCAAGCTGGTATATACTGCTCACTAAAGCTGGACTAGCTTTATGTCACTCCTCTCTGGAGAGAAACAAATGTGGAGCAAAAAGCCCAAGCTTTGAAGCATCAGACCAGATTTGAATGCAGGCTCTTTTGTTAGTTACTGTGTTAATCACTGTTCTACACTTCATTGTGGTAATCACACCCGTAGTTAAGACCCAAAAGCCTCAACACTAGATTTAGAGTCCAAAGGAGTCAAGCAACTTCTAGTCAGAATTCACTCCACCAACAACATAAATTACAAAAACAGCTATTGAGTATTTCCATTCACCCATCCAGAGCCTTTCTCCAAAAAATGAAAACAAGTCAGTTAAGTACACTAATGTCCTAATGGTAATTTACCCACATATAACTGGTAACAGATGGATACAGTTAGAATAAATTAATACACCAACATATTAGGACATCTAAAATAAAATCATTTGAAAAGACAACAACAACAAATAGCTGTTAGCTCAAGACGTTTGCTCCAAGTCTTTAGAATGATTACATACCTACGGGGCTACCTGGAGTAGCTGAAGGCGGTTGTGACGTTGGAATTGCACTTGAAGGTTTGTCAAAGTCAAGAACAGACTCCTAAAGATATGATTTTAAATAAAGAGTGGAAACAGAGATTACTCATTTAAAAGCTATTACCATTGAATTATTCATGATGCTGCCTATAGTCTATTAGCTACACATAAATATCTAGCTAAAGCTATAGGTATCTAGCTAATCACTGTCTCAGGATGCCAAAACTAGTCTCCATAGATAAAGAAATTAAGAATTAAAAATAAAATCTAAAGTAACTGCCATAACTTAAGGCTGTGTAGAGTGCTAAAACCACAAGAGTAGGCCGTGCGCAGTGGCTCACACCTGTAACCCCAGCACTCTGGGAGGCTGAGGTAGAAGGATCGCTTGAGCTCAGGAGTTCGAGACCGGCATGGAAAAAAAGCGAGACCTTGTTGCTACTAAAAATTTTTTGAAGAATTAGCTAGGCATGGTGGTATGTGCCTGTAGTCCCAGATGCTCAGGAGGCTAAAACAAGAGGATCGCTTGAGCCCAGGAATTCGAGGCTGCAGTGAGCTTTGACCACACCACTGCACCCTAGCCTCGACAAGCAGAGTGGGACCCTGTCTTTAAACAAAACAAAACAAAAGCCTACAATACTAAATCTAAGGCCTAAGTCAGAAAAGAAACTCTTGACCTTACTAAGGTCCTAAACATAGCCATCAATCCTAGTCTAATCAGAACCCCCATTTTTATTACACCCAACCAAAGAGCATCTATTTATCTCAACCATTTACTAGCTCATGCTGTTAAAACATTTTCAAGATGAGAAATCACGCTCTTGTATCTGCCTATCTCGGTTCTCTCAGAAAAGTTTCCAGTATTTTGCATACTTAAGCTACACATTTGCAGGGAGCATTTTAGTTCTTACATCTTCAACTAATCTGATGGTATAGGCAATTCCTACATTTTGCAAATAAGTGTTGGAGGTTAAATAAACAGCTGGTAAGTAACAGAATTTAAACCCAGGCCCATATTCAAAGCTCAGGATCTTTTACTAAACAAAAATACTTATTTGACTACTTTAGCCCTCAGTAATCTCATACCATTCTCAAATTCTGTGTCTGTATCTCACAACTTAAACATATTGTATAACACAATTTATCATTTAACTATTGATTTAACATAAATTTACAATCTTCTACAACTGGAATATAAATTCCTTGAAGGCAATGAATGTCTCATTTTCTGTATCTGTACTACAATGGTATCTAACAATATCAGGCACAGAGTAGGTTCTCACAGTTCTCAGTACTGATAATCTATAGCAGTAATGATCCTTGAGCAAGTTAAGCTTTTCACATGCTTAATTCATTTTTTTTTGTTCTAACAAACTTAGAAAGTAGGAACAATAATCCTCATTTTTCAAATAAATAAACTGAGGCAGAATCAAGTAATTTGCCTAAACTCCAGGCTAGGAGAGCTAGGAGGCAGCAGAGCCAGGACTTGACAGAATAATCTATGCTCTTAATAATTTCACTGTAATGTTTCCAGTCAGAAGCCCCATGAATATCATTTAAGATTTTGTAAATGACTCATACTTGCATAAAGTTACAAGTTCCTTGAATCTGAGTCATCAGATCCTGCAGTTTTTCTTTCCTCAATACTGGATCCTTCGGAAGGGTAGAGGAAGAACCTACAGGCTGATGCACAGGCTTAGGCACCTACAAGATAAACCCATAATGTGTAAGAGTGAAATGCAAATTCAAGAGCCTAATCTAGGAAACAGTTTATCACTACATCTTAAAGGAAAAGAAAAAACAGCAATGTTCACTTATCACAGGTAAAGAATTTTCTCATAAATACCTTTTCTAAATAAGCAAACTTTAAACAGATTTTTCCCCTTCACAATTTTCATGGAACTCTTTCTAAAACACAAAATATTCCTTTTAAAGGGAAGATCCAGCAGAACTTCCTTGTTAAGAGTGTTTTCATTATGGACATGAGTTACCATATGTCCTCTAGGATAAGATGCCACTGACAATAAGACATACCAATGATTTTTTTTTCCAGGGCAAAAATTACTACTACCACATTAAATGTACATCCCAGTTTTAAGATGTATCTGATTTCAGAAATCAAAATGTAAATACATATATAAGTACATACATACACATACCCTAAAATTGAGAGGGATACATATATTTTGTTATAAAGTAAGTACACTCTTGGGGGCTACTGATATCCATCCTAAATTGCTTAAAATTGATGCACATTCTGAATTAGACCAATTTACAGTTACTTTTTATAGCTGTCAACATGCCAGTCTCCACTAGCTCCTCTTCTCCACCTTCTAATCAAAGAAGACACACAGCTAAGTTTGTCAAAGGTACCAGATAAAATAAGAGTTAAGAGACCATAAGTGAGTACATATGGGACTCTTTTAGGAGGAAGGTATGAACATCAGTGATTAATTTCATGTTATCTAGTCTTTTGGCTTTGAACTCTATTCTGCACTTGACTGTACTTAGTCAATATTCTAGACAGCTCAGATTCCAAGAAAGACAGAAAAATACTATATTACACATAGAAGTATCCTCTCCTCTCAGTAACTGAAAAACCCTACAACTTCAATATAACGCTATCTGTCCCACAAAAGCAAATTAAATATGTTTTGACCTTTCCAAATATGTAACACTGATTTTAAATGCAATTCATCAAATAGCATGATAATATTCTGGTATGATAAAGGTTCTGCATTGCTACACCTACTGGAATTTTAAGTCAGGTTTTTAAAAGCAGCTTTGAGATATTAAATTGGGTTTTTAAATGTTTTTCAAAATAGTTACATTACAGTTACTGTTGTGTGATATTTGGTTAATAAAATAAAGCTGACAATCTTCTGTAGGGTCAGGAAGAAGCTAAAATTAATATTAGCAACTTGAGAGAGAAAGGAGAGCAAAATAGCCAAATAACTCTAAAATTTTGTTCCCATACAGAATTAAGCCAAAGGTAATTTACTTATAAAATGCAATGCTTTGCTTTCCCCAAGCAAAATGTTTTTCATATTATTATATTAGAGGTCCAATGGTTTATCAGAAAGCCTTTAGCTAAAATGGCACAGATGTGCAAGGAAGACTACTCCATAGAGATAGAGAACACTGGAAGCACAAGTTCACATATCTCAGCAAATGAGGTGGTAACAAGTTTGCATTATAAATAGTAGTAAATAAGTAATTTACAATTTAATAAAAGGCAACCCTAACATAGCACTGTACCCAAGAATTATTCAATGTAAGTGTTATCTACCTGAAACAGGTTATTTATCCTTAAAAGAATGTGGCCTTATGTTTTAACTGAATCTTGTTCTCCAAAACCTAACTACAAAATATTTAATGCCAACAGTTTTCCTATCTTTGGAAAAATTCTCATTTTGAAATGGAAATAGAGAACTAATTCAAATCCTTCCCCCAATACTGAAATATCTGCAACCACCATAAACCTTCTTCATAAAGACCTGGGCTAAACTGAGTGACCATAAATGAGTAGAAGAGAAGCAAGAGAATATAGAAAAATATAACTTGTCAGAAAAAGTTATTCGTATAGCAGGTAAATGACAACAAATGAAATACAGTATCTCCCATCCTGTGACAAGCATTTGCATTACTCACTTGTTCACATTATGTCATTATGGTCTTATCTAAACTATCTACTATTTTCATATCATGTTATATTGTTAAAATTTGGCATTAAAACAACATTTTATAATTGCAGAAATTTCATCTCAGATTAGACTTAAAGACAGACTAGATTAACTCCCAGTTTTCAAGGGAAAACAATAAATCTACCCACTAAAGAGGGTGAAATATTTTATACATTAACTTCACATGGGCTTTGAAGAGAACTAAGGCCGGGCACAATGGCTCACGCCTGTAATCTCAGCACTTTGGGAGGCCGAGGCGGTTGGATCACGAGATCAGGAGATCCAGGCCATCCTGGCTAACACAGTGAAACCCCGTCTCTACTAAAAATACAAAAAAATTAGCCAGGTGTGGTGGCATGCGCCTGTAGTCCCAGCTACTCAGGAGGCTGAGGCAAGAGAATCGCTTGAATCCAGGAGGCGGAGGTTACAGTGAGCAGAGATAGTGCCACTGCACTCCAGCCTGGGTAACAGAGTGTTTCTCCATCTCAAAAAAAAAAAAAAAAGAGAACTAAAAAGTCATTACCACGACACCTTATTTATGCCTACACTTACAGAAGCAGAATGATACAGATCAACTCACATCTTTGGGTTCTGTGTTCAACTTCCTGGGCAGCAGCTGGTCATTTGGTATGAGGCTTGCTGTAGCTACTCCCCAGGACTTTGGAGAAATCTGTGACTGTGATGTTAAAGAGTGTTTTTGACTCTCAACATTGTTTTCCCAGGATTTTGGAGTCTCTGGCTGTTTTGAATCCTGTTCTTCACACATGGGAGTGGTCCATGACTTGGTGGTGTTCTGTTCGCTCTGCATGGAAGGTGTCCAAGACTTTGGAGTTTGCTTCTTTGGATCTTGTTCTTTCTGCAGCTGAACTGGCCACAGCTTTGGTGTCTCCTGTTTCTTTTGTTCCTCTTGAACATACCCTGCTTTGGATTTAGGTGTATCTTGCTTCCACTGGCTAGGAGATGGCTTGGATTTGGAGATCTCCTGCTTCTTCTGCTCTTCCGGCAGAGTAGACCTGAGTTTTGAGGTGTCTTGTTTCCTCTGTTCTAAGGAAACTGCAGGCTTGGATACCTCCTGGTGCTTACCAGAAGCCTCCCAGGACTTAAAGGACTCCTGTTTCTTCTCTTGACCATCTGGTTCAGTAAGCATATCCCAACGTTTTGGGAGATTTGGTTTTCTAGCATAATCTGCTTCCCAAGGTTGCTCTTCGCCTTGTTTGTTTGAATAATCTACTTCTGTCATATAGCGTCTGTTAAGAAACTAGATAGAGAAACAATGCACTTAAGTCACAAAATTCATAGAAGACCTTGGAGGGAATATTCAACTCTATTAGTATTGCTATGTCCTCTGATCTAAGTTGTTGCACTAATATTAAATTTCTGTCCTTATTCTACTTGAAAAGACTTTCCTACTTCTCTTTCCTACTTTCCTACTTTTCTGTCCATTCCTTTTTCCTCAATTAACAGAAATACAGACTTCGATACATCAAAAGTAGCAACTTCTGTTGGACTTGCCTAAGACTGGCAAGAATTGCTTGATTCGGATTCTTCTACCAAGGCTGTTCCGCCTTTGCCAGCCTTAGGACCATTCTCCCCAGTTGACTCCCTCAAACATTAAAAGGCAGAAGATAGTTCAACTTCAAAGTTAAATTATGTAACCTTAAACGTGACATTTCCTAAGTTACCAGTGTTTTCTTTATTTCCCTTATACATCAATGACACTGTTTTTGAATCTCCCATTCTTTTCAGCTTCCCATGAATTTCAATGTCACTTCAGAAAGAGAACAAATACCCTTTTCTGCTACCAATGTGAGTAAATTCTGGAGAGAGCAAAGTCCTGCGCATCTTAAAGTTCCTCTAACACAGGAGCCAAAAATAGCTATCATTTGGGCAGTTCGTGTGCCAGACCAAATTCTAAGTAATTTAGAATTTAGATCAACCTCTTTAATCCTCACAATAACCCCATGAAGTAGTCATTAACGTTATCCCTATTTTACATATGAGGATAACAGACACAGCTGGACCAGATTTCTTGCCCAAAGTCCCTAAGCTAGTAAACTGCAGAACCAGGGTTCAAGCTCAGGCAGTCTGGCTCCAGAGCCTTAGCTTCCAACCATAACCCTATGCAAAAGGCTGAAAAATCAACATCAGCAAATTGTCTTTCAGTATCTTACCTCTTGTGGTTGTATCTCTGGCTGGGCAAATTCCATTAGAGACTCTGGGATGATAAAAAGAATCTGAATAAATACTAGGTGAACTGTAAGTTTTTAGACAGATTACAACTATAATTCATTCTAGCAACATATTTCAGAAGACTCGTAACAGAAAAAGGGTAATATAATCAAGTATATTGATGGCAAGAGGAATTATATTCCTTGTTAGTCCAAAGCATGTGGTCTGAGGCTAGTTCAAACTAGTAGCTCTCCTTATGTAAGACACTTTACGAAAGTCAAGTTTCAGTTTAAAACTGATATCTGATTGAAAATAACACTATTTCTTCTTACCCTAAAACACAGCTTTTTTTCAAGTTAGCATTATAGCTCATGTCCCATGGGGTAAAAATTGGTCATCTCAGCTTGAAATAGAGCCCTTAAAAACCTCTTACAAGCCAGTTTAAGGTTAGGAGGGGATAAGAGAGTGGAGATACTTAAGCACTGCACTTAGTATTAAGAACTAAGGGGAAATAAACATGGAAAATGGTTTCGCTCTTGCTTATGGCTACCAGAACCCTGCCTGGACTACCTCCTGAGAAGAGGTATTTCTTTAATAAATCCAACTTTGGTAAACAAAAGCAGAAGTGCCACTTGCTCAAAGTATTTCTTCCCCAGGCAAATGATAATTTTAAAAGTATATTTTCTTTACTGACTTTAGCACTTTTTTCCCCTGAATCAGTATTTCGACCTTAGGTTAATTACATCCTCATTCCACTACAGTACTGGTTTCTACTCTAACTTCCACTGTAAACAATTTTAAACAGAATTATCCTACTAGTAGTTTAACAGAGAAGTTTATTCAAATTCCATAAATGGCTCCTTTTAACCAATGTATTCTTTTGGGACAAAGTACAAATTAATATTTCTAATAAGTTTCACTCGGTAAATCATGGTGATAAAGCCTAGAGATGTTTTATAAACCTAGGTTTATCCTGTGGTAAGTAAAGATTTCCATGCATGTAGAACCTAACAAATTAAAATAAGGCAATCACTGCACAATACGTGACTCATTTGGGGTATTAAAAAATGCAACCACTATAAGGATTTTCAGAGGTCACAACAAACCTGACTCTTTGACAGATTCAGTCTTCGATAATTGTGTTTTTTTCTCTGATTGTATTAGCATTTCTTCCTCCAGTGGTACTTCCTTTTCCTTGGCATTTTTGGGAACTGGGATACTTTCAAAATAGCCTGAGTTCAGCAATTTAGACAGTAGATCCTTCAAGTGTTTGTCTAAGAAAGAGTGATTAAGACTTAATTGTCACATGACCTAATTGAAAATTACTGGGAATAGAAATCCTAATTTTATCCTAGTTGTAGTACATTGTTACAATAGTTTACATTGATGTACATAGTACATCCTTACAATAGTTTACAACAGTTTACACTTTCATGGTACTGACTGGAGAACTTGTCAGTACCATGAAAAGTAAATATGCAGTCCATCTTTATTTTATGCTGAATCAATATGAATTTTAATGAGATCAGAATCTCAAAAGTTCAGCAAGTCACTTAAGTTTCTCTGGACCTCCATTTCCACCATTTGAAAAATGACTAAAAATCAGAGACCCTAATCAAGTATGTCACAAAAGCACACATCTATTCCCTGAGATGAGAAATAAGTCATTTTTCCTATCTGCTCCCAAGACATCACAGCTAGCAACCACTCTACCTTCCCCAAGTAATTAAGGCTTTAGAGAAGTAAAAGTCAGTTCCTCAAAATCTATTAGATTGGGTTAGAAAATCCTATATTGGACAATCTCTATTAGATTACTAATATTATTAATCTATTTTAGAAAACCCTATCTTTTACAAACTCTGAAGTATTTTTCAACTACAAAATTCCATCATGAAGATTTTACTCGAGTTATGCTGTTTGTCCTTCCTACCACCTGACCATTTGATGATCAAGAAAAACCTTAAAATGATGCTGAGGTCACTACACTACAAATAAGTCTAAAGTCATTTTATTTTAAAAATCCATTAAAAACATAATCCCAAACTTAGCAGAGTTTCCGTACTTCATTTTAGTCTATTATTCCTTTCACAGGAGTACTATGACATAGATTTTGAGTCTATTATTCCTTTCATAGGAGTACTATGACAGATTTTGTCTTTTAAAAAAAAAATCAGCTTTCAGATATAATTTACAGGCAAAATCCTCCTATCTTAACTATACAGTTTTAACAGATATTTAGTTGTGTTACCACCAGAACCATGATATAGAGGATTTTCATCAACCCAAAAAATTCCTTACTACCCCTTTTGCAATTAATTGTCCTCTCCTGACCCCCTGAAAACCAATAACCCACTATCATCCCATTATGTCTTTTCTAGAATTTCATATAAATGAAATCTTACAATATGTACTCATTTTATGTCTGGCTTCTTTCACTCAGCATAATTATTTTGAGATTCATCTATGTTGTTACATGTATCAATAGTTCCGTCCCTTTTTTATTGGTGAGTAGATTCCACTGCATGGGTATACCACATTTTATCAATTTATCAGCTGAATAAAGCTAATATGAACATTCATGTACAAGTACTTATATGAACACGTCTTCATTTATCTTAGCTAGAAGACTAATTGCTTAGCGTTATAAGTGTATGCTTCATTTTATTAAAATACTGCCAAACTATTTTCTAAACTCATTTTGCATTCTAACCAAGAAATAAATTTTTAATTTTGATTTAAGCTTGAACAAACTTAGAAATCTTAAGATAGTTATAGATATTTGGATTTTTTTTTAAAAGGAAGCAATCACTGGTAACAAAAATATTTACTACCTTCTAGTGAGTTTTCATTACTCTAAGCTAGTACACAAAGCTATGTACTTCATGTCCAGTCATTTGTATTTGGTCATTTGGCCAAAGTCTATTTAGCAAGCCAAAAGAACTCTCTTTCCACAGACCACTTCCAGATCAATAGACAACGTTTCAATAGACTATAAAACCATTCATATATTCTTAGGCTGATCTGGTAGATAAGCCTTGATATTAACAATGCATGAATTTAAGATTCTTAAATAGAACAGGTACTACCACACAGAATAGAAAACTGAACCCCAAAATGATCAAGCTAGTGTTGAAGCCAGTACTTAGCTCTATTTCCAAATCATATCAACTTGCCACTTCAAAACTCTCCCTGAATTCCACTTTAGTGACTAGGGTTATACAATAGCTGCTTTTAACAGAACTAAACAAAGGGATCATTCTCCCAGTGAATATAGTATTGTCAGACATGTAAGTTCTGATGGACTAACACAGTTTAGACCCTCAATATCATACTAAACTTCTAGACATAAAGTTTAGTATTTACTGCATAAGTCCAGAGTAGAGAAAACTCACATGTCGTTCCTACCACTGCTTTCTCACTACCTTCCAAAAGGTCCCAAAAGTACAAGGATGACTGCTCCATCTGGTCTTCAACACTGACAAGGAAAAGCAGCAGCAGAACAAAGTGGCTTTAGAAGTACATATATATGGAGCAGCACAATTTATGCAATATAACCCATTAACAGACAAGACATTCAAATGTTAATTTTGTCTTTTTGCTCTTTGGAAATAAAAAAATTGAAATGTATACAAGATGACTAAATGCCTGCTTAAGGATTTCAAATGTAAGAATTTTTCCTTAAAACAACTAAAATATGGATTTTACCAAATAAACCCATTAAAGAATAGACCAAAAAGAGTTTAAAGCTGCCAATGCAGTATCATTAGTTCAGGTGTATGCCCTACATAAAAGAACAGTGAAATTGAAATATTAAGAGCCGCATTTGACTTTAAAGAAAGCAGCTTATTTAACAAATTATGTTTTGCTTATATTTCATATATTAAAGTGAAGCTACATTCCCTGAACCCACAAAAGTGAAGGAGGCAATGTATAGATGATGACGATGGAGTAGACTATCAGCATGAGAATTAAAAAATACATGGCTATATATAGGCAATTAAGAGTTCTATTAGGCTTCTTTCTGATCAGAGACTGATTTCTGGTAACCGTTGAAATCTGACTCTACTTTAGTAGGGCTAACAAATACAAAGCTGGAATAGCCTGCATCTAACAAAGCAAGAGCACAGCATCTGTCCCCTAGCTGATTTACTCCATCAAAACAAAAAGAGCAATGGATCACTGTGAGGGAAAAAAAATCAGACAGCCCCAGTTTGCAGGTTTTGTATTTTAAACTATCAAATGTATTTATCACTAGTTATTCACAGCATAATAAGAACACCAAATAATTGTTACTTTGAAAGTTTAATGACACCAGCCAAGTTAAATATTATTTACCTCTACTTAAGTATAGCAGGAGTAAGAAGGCAACTCTGAGAAAATTACTTTAAAAGTTTTAGAAATAGATATAATATTATACTTGTACAGGATTAAAATTTGATGCTCAGACCTCATTTTTTTAAAAATCAGTATTACAATAAAGAAGCATGTTAATGAGACCATTCACATTCACTTTCCTTCCAGACAATCTGTCAACCCTGTCAGACTCTGGGCCAGCCAAGGTTTCCATATTGAATCAAATTAATACTTTCTTAAGTTCTCTCTCCCCCTCTCTAACACACACACACACACACACACACACACACACACACACTCTCTCTCTCACATACACACACCCCTAAAAAGCTAAAGTGTCAAGTGTTTCATTTCAGGAAAATCTTTTCATTAGCTTACCTCAGACTTTCATTTCTTTCAGGGCAGGTCAGTTTTGAAAACTTAATGAGGTAGTCAAGTTCTTTTGAAGGCAAATACACTGCACCATTCAAACCCCCTTTGAAGTCTTTTTGTACGTGCTCCTGTGTCAAGTTCTGCAATACATACTGAACTTGAAGTATAGTTCGAAGCTTTTTCTTCTCAGCCTCAAGTTTTAGCATGTGCTCCCTTCTCTGGGCCTTCTTTTGCGCTTTTAGTAGCTGTTAAAACAAATGGCTAATTAAGGGTAACAATTCTCTACCATCCCATATTAGCAATACGTATCTACAAAGTCTAAACCCAAATAGCTGAGATTAGATGATAAATCTCATGACTGTCAAACTACCAGTTTAGTCTGTCTCCTTTTTGAGCTAAAGAAGTCACTGAGTAATAAACTGGTTTGTCTCAGGTAACCAGAGCCAAGGGGGTCAAATATCTGACTCCCAAATCCAGGATATGTCTAGAACCGCTAATATCACCATGATGAGTAGCGAAGTACCAATCATTGATGTCCATATTCATTTCAACATTTTACTCTTTCACATTTATGTGTATCAGTCCTTTTTGGACCTTTTAGGATTTTTTTTAAATTTCATATTCCAGGGGAAAAAATATTTAAACTAAAATGGTCAGTTTTAATGAACCAAAGAAGACTGGCTAAAGCATAAGGGGTTGAAAAGCTAACAGACATAAAATGTCTTCCAAGTGTAATGCCAAAAACCAGCCACAGCAAACATGTTATTTTGTTTCAGAAGTAAAATTAAAAATTTTTTAAATAATAATTTGCCCTGTCAGTCTGGACAGAGCTACATCCTCCAATATTTAGCTGACAAAACAGATACAGAAAATCAATGGAGCTTAAGTTTTCCCTCAGGCCAGGCACAATGATACACACCTGTAATCCCAGCCCTTTGGGAGGTCGAGGAGGGTGAATCACTTGACCCCAGGAATTCAAGACCAGCCTGGGCAACATGGCAAAACCCCATCTCTACAAAAAATACAAAAATTAGCTGGGCATGGTGGTGTGTGTCTGTAGTCCCAGCTACTCAGGAAGCTGTGGTAGACAGATTGCTTGAGCCCGGGAGGTCAAGGCTACAGTGAGTGGTGACAGTGCCACTACACTCCAGCCTGGGCAACAGAGTGAGATCCTGTCCCAAAAAAAAAAAAAAAGCAGTTTCCCCTCCAACAATTTGTGTACATAGATTGAGCAGCCCTAGATCTGCTCTAAAGCTTAGAACTATAATACCTTAAAGTCTGACATAATATTCATGGGTCCCAGAAAGGACTTGCATTTAACTAAAAACTACTATCTCTTTCCATTAAGAAACCTAAAAGGTCTTTTCCCTCCATAGTTTTTGATTGTAACGTTTCCATCATATTGGATATTCCGCAAGGTATGAAGATTAAAATACAAAAAAAAAAAAACCACTAAGATTTTTCCTATAGATGGGTCAAAGTACTTTGATATAGCATCGATATTTTAAATTATATAAAAGAGATGTTCGTAAATCCTAACAGATTAAAATTAGGGGGAAAACCTCATGAAAAAGATTCACTGTGGCATAATTAATCCCTTCCTAGGGGATGTGGAAGCAACTTAATAAATATGATTTGTGCTACTGCTAGGGACAGAAAGATAGTAAGTGAAGATATAAAATTTTCAGAATGAGAAATAGACTGGTTGAAGGTTGCATGGGCAAGCACATTTTCTCAGATGGGAAAGGCTCAGTAAGGCTTTTTGCAAGACCTCAGTATAGACTGCATCAATAACACTTACCAAAACTACAGGATTCTCTGATCCTGCTTGAGAGAAGAAAAGAGGACGGAGGTGGCACTCCTAGCTCTCCAAAACACTGGAGTTTCTCATGGTATAGGGAAAAGCAACTGATTCACAGGGCATCTTCAGACAATTATACCACATGATTATCTCAGATTTATCTTTGGCCAGTCTCCCAAGGTAGGACTGGGTGGTCATATGGGCTCATGCCACCTTGAACTTCCCCTATCAAAGTATTTTTGGGTTTTTTGTTTGTTTTTGAGACAGAGTATCATTATGCCATCCAGGCTGGGGTGCAGTGGCACAGTCAAGGTTCACTGCAGCTTTGACCTCTTGAGCTCAAGTGATCCTCCCACCTCAGCCTCCTGAATAGCTGGAACCACAGGTACATGCCACCATGCCTGGCTAATTTTTTTTTTTTAATAGAGATGAGGTCTCTCTATGTTGTCCAGGCTGGTCTTGAACTCCTGAACTCAAGCAATCCTCCTCCCAAAGGGCTAGGGTTACAGACGTAAGCCACCATCCCTGGCTATTTTTTATTTATCTGCATCTATGATGACAGGGACTATATCTACTGTTCACCAATATTCACTAACGCCCAGCACAGAGTCTGACAAATATCAGGGCCTCAAATTTTTGTTGAATAAAATCAAATATCAGGAAAGTCTCCCAGATCACAATCAGGTGTCATGAAAAGTCATGGACAAGAGCCAATTTCTCCTTCTTTAGATGAAAATTAGAAAGGTGGGTTACATTGTTCTCTTTTTCCAGTTGAGGACCAGTTTGGAAAGGAAACCACTCTCAATCAGTAGTACTGAATGATAAAACTGGTTTTCTTTTTTTTTTTTTTTTTGAGACGTAGTCTCACTCTGTCGCCCAGGCTGGAGTGCAGTGGCACGATCTCGGCCCACTGCAAGCTCTGCCTCCCGGGTTCACGCCATTCTCCTGTCTCAGCCTCCCGAGTAGCTGGGACTACAGGCACCCGCCACCACGCCCGGCTAATTTTTTGTATTTTTAGTAGAGACGGGGTTTCATCATCATAGCTAGGATGGTCTGGATCTCCTGACCTCATGATCCGCCCGCCTCGGCCTCCCAAAGTGCTGGGATCACACACGTGAGCCACCGCGCCTGGCCGATAAAATTGGTTTTCTTAATCGAGACTCAGAATGATGAATCCCTACCAGGAGACAGAGCTCATGAGGACAAAGCAGAATGTAACAAGGTCGAAAAGAAGGACTTCCAAATTTACTTTGAAGGGAAAAAAGAAAATGTTCCACAAACTGCAAAACTGGCTATCATAGAACATGTCTGACAAAAGAAAAACTTAAAAGAGGAGCCCAAAAATTACCAGGTAAAATTAAAAAAACCTCAAAAGTACTGCCAAGCACCTTTCAGGGTCTTGATTCAGTAAGGCAACCTCCAAAGTACTTTATCATGTCACCTAAAATGAAAGTAAATCTCAAACACAGGCAAGTAAAAATAATTTCATGGATATTAACAAAATTTGGTGAGTTGGGAGCTACCTCTAGACTACAGCAGCAAAGAAAAAAAAAAACAAAACAGATAAGACACTATATTCACGATATAGAGAAAAAGTACCTAGGGCCATATCTTGGCTCTACCACTTACTGGCCATATGACTTTGAATAAGTTCCTTTTCCTTAAATGTAAAACCCAAAACTATAAAAACCCTGTAAGATAACCTAGGAAATACCATTCTGAATATAGGAACTGGCAAAGATTTTGTAACAAATATGCCAAAAGTAATCAAAACAAAAGCAAAAACTGACAAGTTAGATCTAATTAAACTTAAGGGCTTTTATGCAGCAAAAGAAACCATCAACAGAGTAAACAGACAACCTACAGAATGGGAGAAAACTTTTGCAAACTATGCATCTGACAAAGATCTAATATCCAGTATCTATAAGGAAGTTAAATAAATTTACAAGAAAAATAAACATTAAAAAATGGGCAAAGGACATGATGAATAGACACTTTTCAAAAGAAGACATACATGTGGCCAAAAAGCATATGATAAAAAGCTCAACATCACTGATCATTAGAAAAATGCAAATGAAAACCACAATGAGATGCCATCTCATACCAGTCAGAATGGTTATTATTAAAAAATCAAAAACTGACAAATGCTGTCAAGGTTGTAGAGAAAAGGGAATGCTTACACACTGTTGATGAGAGTGTAAATTAGGTCAACCATTGTGGAAAGCAGTGTGGCAATTCCTCAAAGAGCTAAAACCAGAACCACCATTTGACCCAACAATCCCATCACTGGTTATATATCCAAAGGAATATAAATCATTCTACCATAAAGACACAGGCATGCATATGTTCATTACAGCACTATTCACAAGAGGAAAGACATGGAATCAATCTAAATGCCCATCAATGATAGACCAGATAAAGAAAACGTGGTACATATATATCATGGAATACCATGCAGCCATAAAAAAGAACAAGATCATGTCCTTTGCAGGAACATGGATGGAGTTGCAGGCCATTATCCTTCGCAAGCTAACACAGAAACAGAAAGCAAATACCACATGTTCTCACATATAAGTGGGGGCTAAACAATGAGAACACATGGACACATAAGAGGGGAACAATACACACTGGAGCCACTTGAGGGTGGAGGTAAGAGGAGGGATAGGATTAGAAAAAATAACTATTAGGTACAAGGCTTAGTAACTGGGTGACAAAATAATCTATACAACAAATCCCCATGACATGAGTTTAACTTTATAACAAACCTGCACATATAATATACCCCTAAACCTAAAATAAAAGTTTTCTTAAAAAGAATAAGTCGCGCATGTAATCCCAGCTACTTGGGAGGCTGAGGCAGAAGAATCGCGTGAACCCGGGAGGCGGAGCTTGCAGTGAGCCGAAATCGTGCCACTGCACTCCAGCCTGGGCGACAGGGCAAGACTCCGTCTCAAAAAAAAAAAAAAAAGAATAAGTTACTTTTGCTCTGAGTCTCAGATTCCTGATCTGTAAAATTGGACTATTTATAGCAACTTCCCAGACTATTGTAAAAATCAAGTGGAGCTGCATAAGTGCCTGGCACAAGGTAGGCATTTTTTACACGTTTTTAATCTAAAAAGAAGAAAAGAATACCATATATTAGAAAAATATAGGCCTGAATGAAAAACTAAATTGTTACTGGGTAACTCTGAGTAAAGACAGAAGACAGAAAATTTTAAATATCATAAAAGTATACTTCTAACCATATTTGTAATCCTTCTTAGCCAAGAATTAGGATGGTAAATGTCTCCAGCCTAGAAGAATTTTTCTTTATTCCAGAGGAATGGAGAAGAGAATTTTAGTTCACTATAAAGAAAAATAGGCCAGGGCGACTGCTCACACCTGTAATCCCAGCATTTTGGGAGGCCAAGGCAGGAAGATCCCTTCAGCCCAGGATTATAAGCCTCCAGAGAATTATGATCACACCACTGCACTCTAGGCTGGGTGAGAGAGCGAGACCTTGTCTCTAAAACATAATAAAAAAATATAAATTTTTTTAATGAAAATATCCAAAAAAATAGAAGAGATTATCTTATGAGGCATGCTCTCCTCTCCAGGAATGAATTTATTTAAAAATTTCCACAATTGTTGGAACTTGACCTTTAAAGGACCTTCTAGTGCTGAGATTTGAAAAAGTAAAGAATACTTCACTGAGAAGTGTTTAAGACTTCATATTACTGATTAAATTTGTCAGAGATAAAATTTTGAACTGCCAACATAGAGAACCTAACAAGTAGTGAGGCCAGATTTAACTCTATTTAACATGAGTCATTAATTTTCCCATCAATAATTTTCATGCTTTCAAGAAGACTACCAACTCTGTTGTCTCATATGTTAAATAATGTGAAAGAAGCCTATCTTATATAAATTTACAAGCCTATATTCTAAAATATCTTTAATAAATATACCTTGTCAAAAGTTTGATTCCCTGTGTCAATGATTTCTATAATTCTGTAATTAAATAACATACATTAGATAACTAATGCTTTATTCACAATGTCTCATACTCAGATGCCATTTGTGTTCTCCCTTGAGACTACAGAAATCTGAAAAAACTAGTTCTCCAACAGTTATCCTCAACCTTCCATCACGATAAAATATCAGCAGAAATTAGAAGAATAATAACCAAACACCATTACTAGACACTGACACACTGACATTTTCTCCAAGATCAGTGGTTAAAACTGGTTTCAGGAAAAGCAAAGAAAACATACTCACATCTAGGCTCAACCCAGAAAAGGTTTTTTGAAGCTCCTTGGCAAATTCCAAATTATGTAGCACTTCTTCATATTTCTCTACAGCTTCCTACCAAATAGGATAAGAAAACATAAATTTTGTGACTGTTTAAGTATAAATATGTGAAAATAATGTTTCTTAAATACAGTAGAAGAGATTTAAGATCTTATGGCTATTTACTATACATACACAAAAAAAGTACTTGCCTAATGAAAAAGGAGAAAGAGTATTAATACCAGTTTTATTAAGTTGCATTTAAAAATTCAATTCTAATGCCAGAAATTCAATTTTTATATTAGAAATATGAGTCCTAATTTTACCCCTATAAAGTCTAAGATCAGAAAGGCCTGTTGGTTTTAATAGCACTGAGCCAATAGGATTTCTCTGTTAATATTCATTCACTACTCAAACATATTACACAAATAGCACGGTGAGTATCAGAGAGATGAACAAGCAACTTCAAGACATTTATAATACAGTGGAAAGATTTAGAATAATTACCTGTAACAGACAAAAATAAATATTATAACAAACAATATGCAATGTCCTACAGGAAATTTAAAGGAGCAAAACTTTTTTTTAAAGATTTCCCAGATAAACAACATTGACAGAAAAGAGGGGGGCATTTCATGGGACTTTAACTCAAATCTATACGGAAGAGAAAGGACCAATCTGAAACAGAACAAGGTGGAGAACCTGTGCAACTGGATAAATACATATTATAAAGCCTCAGTAATTAAAATAGTAAAGTATTACACTCCAAGGTATCTACCCAAAAGAAATGAAAACATGTCCACATAAAGACTTGTATATAAATGTATACAGCAGCATAATGGCCCAAAATGAAAACAATCCAAATATCCAGCAACTGGTAAGTGGATAAACAAAATGTGGTACACCCACACAATGGAATACTAGTCAGCAATAAAAACCAATGAAATACTGATACATGCTATAACATGGATAAACCTCAAAAATATGCTAAGTAAAAGAAGCCAGATGCAGAAGACTATTTTATGTGAAATGTCCAGAAAAGACAAATTTTTAAAGATAGAAAGTAAATCAGAGCACAAAAGAGAACTTTGGGGGGATGATAGGAATACTCTAAAATTAGACTGTGCTACCAGTTCGATAACTCTACAAATTTACTATAAACAAATGTACGCTTAGAATGGGTTTACTTTGTGTTAAGTATATTATACCTCAATAGTGTTGGAAAAAACAGACTGATATTAAGTCTTTATAAAGGTACAGAACAATAGGAACTCCTATGTAATAATAACAGTATTAGTATAAATTGGTACAATAATTTTGGAAAACAGTTCAGAATTTTTACCTATGAAGTTAATCATGAGCATGTCCTACAGCCTAATGATAGATATGTACCCTGAAAAAAAATCTTACTCCTGATTCTCAGTAACACCTAAAAGATTCCTCAAAGTAAAATTCTTCAGTGACAAAAAAAAACCCCAAAACTTCAAGCATCCATCTATTCAGACACTAAAACTAAGTAGAGAGAACCAAATACAGGCACTTGTATTGATATAAAAATACTAAATATAATGAGTGAAAAAAGCAAACTGCAGAATATATAGCATGATACCACTTTCTATAAGGTACAAAAAAAACACAACTCTAACAGGGCAGCAAAAAAAAAAAATGGTCTTAAAAGCAAGGGAAAACTTCAGGGTCATGGTTACAGGAAGGAGAAGGTACCACATGAGAAAGGAGCCTCAACACTGTTGGAAACATACTATTTGAGTTGAGAGTTGGGATCTGGTGCTTGCTTTATTATGTGTTTTAACTTATATGGAATATATTGTTTCAGCCATATATTTTATAATAAAAACGTACAGAGATCTTCCTGCTACAGAAACAAGAATGAGCAGATAACATTACCAGGATACACAGTCCTCAGAGGGATGTAAAACTATAAAGAAATACTCCATATCTACTCCCAAATGGTATTAACTTTGATTCAAGAAAAGCAGCATCAGCTGGGAACTACCTCAACTTTCCATCATCTAATGTAGACCTATCCTTTCATTTTTCCTTTCTTTACTAAGTGAAGAAGGTATCCCCCCTCCCCCCGCCCCCGCTTCTACCTGTGCCCTGGATCCTACGGAATTGTGCCTTCATACAAAACTTTACTTTAGGATTCCGTCTTTGATGTCTTCTAACAAAGAGCTGCTCCCTCTCTATTGATGCTTAAATCAGCATTTTACAAGCTCATGTCATCCCCAATCTAAACAAGAAAAATTAGTTCTTCTGTGACAACTACTTCCCTCTAGCATTACACAAATTCAAATGTGTTTTCAGTCTCCAGTTCTTCAGACCTCATCAACCTGGATTCCGTTTCTACCATTCCACCAGAACTGTTTTAGCTGAAGTTAGCAATTGTCGATGCCATCCCTTAAAGCTGTGGATCTTTTATAGCTCTCATTTTGGTTGACTTAGCAGCAGCCTTCAACAAAAAGGCACACTCCTGCTCTACAGACATTTCTTGTTTTTACTAACACTGAACTTCCATTTTTCTCCCATTTCTCCAGCTGCTTATTTACTAGCAATTTTTCCATTAGCTTCTCTCTCACCTGCTTTTAGCACCTGTAAAATAGGAGTAATAGAACCTACCTCACAAAGATGCTGTACAATTTAAATGACTGCATATGTATAAAGCACTCAGAATGATGCCTGACCCTAATAAGCACACCGCATTTTTAGCCATTATTGTCCAAACATTAAATGTCAGAATTCCTCAGGATTCTGTCCTAGGCTTCTCTATTCTGCCTTCTATACTTTTATCCAAGACAGTCTTATCTCCTCTAATGGTTTCAAGTAGCGGTCATACAGGTGATATTTCTATCGGCTAAACTTCTCCATGCTCCAGTCTCGTTTACCTAAACAGCTGGTACCAGACACTGATGTCTCCCAGGCACATTAAAATCAGTAGTACAAAATTGAGCTCTTTATCCTACTCCATCCTCCCAAAACCTCCTTCTGCCCCAGTGGTCCCACGTTTAATAAATGGTTTTGCCATCCATCCACTGTTCAAGCAAGAAACCTGAAACCACTCTCAGCTCTACCCTCTACTCCTACATCCAGTCACCAAGCCATGCTGATTTTACCTCTCAAATCCAGCTACTTGATTCAAGTTCCTCTGCCACTGCCTTAGTAGGGCTCCCATAATCATTCACCTACACTACAGGCAACTCTTTTCTAATTTCCTTACATCCATACACTATCTCCAAACCATACTTCACATTGCAAAGTGATTTTTTTAACTAAAAATCTGTAGTTGTTCCCTGCTTAAACATATCTGTACCATTTCTGATGCCTTTGGGAAAAAGTAATTTTCAAATGGTGTACAAAGACCTACCCCCTCCAGCTTCATCACCCATCCACGTGACCTTCTTTACAGTTTTTGAAAAAGGCTCTTTGTAAAAAACCAAAAATCTGTTCCTTCTCAGAGCCTTTACGCATGCAAGCATCTGCCTAGCCTTCTGTTCTTCTTCCTCCCTCCCCCCTTTCACTGGCTAAGTCTCATTCATATTTTAGGTCTTAACTAAAGTTCTTCCTTTCCTAAGGAAGCTGGCCTTAACTCTCTAGACTAGGATGGATCCTGCATTACAATCCCTTATCATCCTATACTTCACCTTCTTAACATCCATCATATCTGTATTTGCTTATTCCCCACTCTCTTCCCCATTACATTATAGACTCCATGTGGTAATGATCACATTTGTCCCCTAGGTATTATAACCCTAATATTAAGTACAGCACCTCCTAGAGTAGATACTTAATATATCTTGTTGAATGAATAAAAGATAGTTCAGATGATCTTAGAGAGCATCAGATATGGTCAAGATTCTGAACAATTTAAAGCTTTTGAAAGAAATCATATACTGAGAGCTGTTTCAAGAAAAAGACACCACGGACAAGAGGACTGGTGAATTGAAGGTAAGATCTCAAGACAAGGATATCAACTAGGAAGCGTATGTAAAGTTTAGGTGGCTTGCCTTGACTACGCCGATAGCAGTGGAATTACAAAAGAGGGAAGATTCTACATTACTTATTGAGTTTACTACAGATGTATTAAATGTAACAAGGGATCACAGTTCAGCAGCAAAAACAGGTACCACATTCTAATTCTTTAACAACAAAAACTTTGGTAGAACCAAAGACATCAAGTTCCCTTTGCCTGTTGCTTGAGAATTCACTTGAATCTCAGCTCTTTATTTCAAATCCAGATCGGAACCAAACATACTAAAGTTATAAATGTAACAATTTAAGTTATTTAAATTATAAAGTTATATTAAATTACAAGTTAAAGTGACTCCACAAACAACTTCATTAGACATTCTTTTTACTATTTGAAAAGAGAAACCTATGCTACCAATTTAACATAAACCTTATGTAGCTTAGCCTTGACAGATCCCTTAAGAGTTACTACTTCAAAGAGGCTGCAAGAGCCATATAGAACATTACAAGTTTTATTTACATTATTATAAGTACCTGTTGGGTTAAAGAAGAAAATCAAACTAAAATTATAAAACTTATCACAAATAATATTGAAAATACAATATCAAATCAAATACAACTGAACCAGTGCTTGAAGGAAAATTCAGTCTTCAAGAAATTTTAGAAAATTTTCACAATTTGAAAAAGCAAATAACCAAAAACAAAAAAGCAGAAAAATTTTTAAAAAGTGGAATAAAGTAAGTCTAAAAGCTGATTTTGGGTGGGGGGGTGGAATATGCCCCTAGATAATTTAAGAGTAAACTAAGGAAAGAAAACCACACAAAATTATAAAGTAACAACAGAAACAAGCTGTATTAAAATTTTATTAAAAACTACTTGGCCCTAATCTATGCAAATAAATTTTAAAAACTGAATGAAATAGGTGATTTTCAATGAAGTTTTTAAAAACTGATGCCAAAAGAAATCTAAACAAAAATCAATCTCCAAAGAAAAACATAGAGCATATTTTCAAAGAGGTCCCACCTCAAAGAGAAGCAGGCACAGATAGTTTCTCACACAATAATTCAACCAAACTTTAAAGACCATGTATAGTGGAAACACTGCCACGATATTAAAAACAACAACAAAAGAATTGGTGAATGAGTAGATGGAGCACAGAGAATTTTTAGGGCAGTGAAAGTATTCTGTATGATATTACAATGGTGGATACATTTGCATTCAACAAAACCCATAGAGCTGGGTGCAGTGACTCACGCCTGTAATCCTAGCTACTCAGGAGGCTAAGAGGATCACTTGAGCCCAAGAGTTCAAGGCTACAGTGAGCTATGATATTGTGCTATTGCACTCCAGCCTGGTGAGAGAGAGACCCTGTCTCTTAAAAACAAACACACACCGACAAAAACCACAGAATGTACAGCACCAAGAGCGAACCCTAATGCAAACTCTAAACTACAAACTTTGGGTGATGATGATGTGTCAACGTAGATTCATAGAAAGTAAAAAATGTATTTCTCTGATGAGAGATGGTGATAGTGGAAGAGGTTGAGCTTGTGTGGGGTGAAAGTGCTACTCCAGTGAACACATGAATAATAAGAAAACAAATGCTATTGCTGACGTGCACAAGATTTGAGTGGTATTCCCTTAAGTCAAAACCTAGTCTAGAACAAGACCCTAACTCTCTTTTATTCTGTGAAGGCTGAGAGACTGAGGAAGCTGCAGAAGAAAAGTTGGGAGCTAGCAGAAGCTGGTTCATGAGGTTTAAGGAAAGAAGTCATCTCCATCACATAAAAGTACAAGATGAAGCAACAAGTGCTAATGTAGAAGCTGCATCAAGTTAGCCAGAAAGTCTAGCTAAGATAATTGATGGAGCTGGCTACACTAAACAACAGATTTTCAATGTAGATGCAAGAGTCTCCTATTGGAAGAAAGTGCCATCTAGGACTTCCATAACTAGAGATGAGAAGTCAATGCCTGGCTTCGAAGCTTCAAAAGACATGCTGACTCTCTTGTTAGGGTCTAATGCAGCTGATGACTTTAAGGCCAATACTCATTTACAATTCTGAAAATCCTAGGACCCTTAAGACTCATGCTAAATCTACTCTGTGTTTTATAAACAAAATAACAAAGCCTGGATGATAGCACACCTTCTTACAGCACTGTTTACTGAATATTTTAAGCCCACTGTTGAGACCTATTGCTCAGAAAAAAAAGATTTCTTTCAAAATATTAATGCTAATTGACAAGGCACCTTGTCACCCAAGAGCTGTGATGGAAATACACAAATCAATGATGTTTTCATGCCTGATAACATAACATACATTCTGCAGCCCATGGATCAAGGAGTAATTTTGACTTTCACGTCTTCTTAAGAAATACATTTGGCCGGGCGTGATGGCTCACACCTGTAATCCCAGCACTTTGGGAGGCCGAGGCGGGCAGATCACCTGTGGTCGGGAGTTCGAGACCAGCCTGACCAACACGGAGAAACCCCATCTCCACTAAAAACACAAAATTAGCCAGGCATGCTGGCACATGCCTGTGATCCTAGCTACTCAGGAGGCTGAGGCAGGAGAATCGCTTGAACCTGGGAGGTGGAGGTTGCGGTGAGCCGAGATCGTGCCATTGTACTCCAGCCTGGACAACAAGAGCCAAACACCGTCTCAAAAAAAAAAAAAGAAAAGAAACACATTTAGATAAGGCTAGAGCTGCCATAGATAGTGATTTGTCTAATAGATCCGGGCAAAGTAAATTGAAAAGTTTCTGGAAAATATTCCCTACATTCTAGATGTCATTAAGAACATTTGTGATTCATGGGAGGATGTCAAAATATCAACATGAACAGGAGTTTGGGAAAAGCTGACTCTAACACTCGTGGATGACTCTGAGGGGGTTCAGAACTTCAGCAGAGGAAGTAACTGCAGATGTGGTGAAAATAGCAAGAGAACTACAAGTAGAGCCTGAAGATATGACTAACTGCTGCAATCTCAGGATAAACTTTTAATAGATGAGGAGTTGCTTCTTATGAATGAGCAAAGAAAGTGATTTCTTGAGATAGACTCTACTGGTAAAGATATTATGAACATTGTTGAAATGACAACAAAACCTTTAGAATTTTACATAGACTCATAGTTGATAAAGCAGCAGCAGGGTTCCAAAGACTGACTCCAATTTTGAAAAAAGTCCTACTGTGGGTAAAATCCTATCTAACAGCATCACATACTACAGAGACATCTTTCATGAAAGAGAGTCCATCAACGTGGCTAATTTCACTGTTGTCTTAAGAAACTGCCACAGCCGCTGCAACCTTCAGCAACCACCACCCTGATCTGTCAGCAGTAATCAACACTGAGGCAACACCCTCCTCAACCAGCAAAAAGATTACAACTCACTGAAGGCTCAGATGACTATTAGCATTTTTTAGCAATAAAATAATTTTTAATCAAGGTGTGTACCTTCTTTTTGACACAGTGCTACTGCACACTTAACAGACTACAGTATAGGACAAATGTAACTTTTACATGCACTGGGAAACCAAAAATTTGTGTGACTTGCTTTATTGCAATCTTCACTTTATCATGGTGGTCTGAAACAGAACCCATAATATCTCTGAGGTATGCCTATACTGGTAACAATTCTCTGAAGATTCTATTTTTTTTTCCTTCTGACTTATCTGCATTTTCTAAATTTTCTACCTTATATATTGCATGTATGAGGTGTGATTTCTCAAAAGTACCACCAACTACGTGCTTAGTTACATCTAAAGACCTAACATTCATTTTATACTTAGTAAATCTATATGTAATAAATATTTTATATACCTACTACATGCTACACTCTATTCTACGCACTAGGAATACAGCAATGAACAGACAAAATCCTTACTTTCATGGAACTTACATTGTAAGGGTAGGAAACAGACAAAATAAAACTTCATAGCTTGTCAGAGAAGTGCTAACTTCTATTAAGAAAAATTAAGCAAGGAAAGGAGCTAAGCAGTGTGAATGGGGAAGTGGAGGTATAGTGAGGTGAGAACAGATCTCACTGTGGGTACCTTCAAATAAAAGGCTGAAGGAGGTTGGGAATTGAGCCACTGAAACATCTGGAGAAAGAACATCCCAAGCAGTAGGAATATCACGTGCAAAAAACCCTGCAGAAGTGTGCCTGGGATGTCTGAGGAGCAGCAAGGAGGCTAGGGTAGCTAGAATGGAGCTAGCGAGGGAAAGAAGAGCAAGAAATGGAGTCAAAATGTCAAAGGAAGTGGGAAGGATATTCTGTAGGGCTTTGTAGACACACTAAGGACATTTTACCACCAGAGGGG